>NC_000013.11:88677221-88980251 GCF_000001405.40 Homo sapiens
TAATTTTGACAAAGCCCAATTTATTGATTTATTTTTCCTTTGTTGCTTGAGCTTTTGTTGTCATATTTAAGGAACTGTTGTCTAAACAATGACCATGAACATTTACACTTATGTTTGTAAGTATTCTGTAATTTTTGCACTTACCCTTGGATCTTTGATAAATTTTGTGTTAATTACAGCTTGAACATTCTAAATCTAGAATCCCAATATCTCAAATGCTCCAAAATTTGGAAGTCTTTGAGCACAGAAATAAACTCAAAGAAAATGCTCATTGGAACATTTCAGATCTTGAATTTTTGGATTTGGAATGCTGAACCACTAAGCATAATGCAAGTATTCCAAATCCCCAAAAAATCCAAAATCTAAAATACTTCTAGTCTCAAATATTTTGAATAAGGGATACTCAACCTGTATTGTATATTTTGTGAGAAACGGATCTAACTGTAGTCTTTTGCATGTGAAATTCCAGCTATCCAAGCATCATTTACTAAAAAGACTCATTCTTCTCCCACTGAATGACACCCTTGTTAAAAAAAATTATCACCTTAATATGTCTTTACTTCTGTACTTTAAATTACATTTTATTGATATATATGTAGATTCTTATGTCACTACAATGATATTTTGATTACTATGGCATTGTAATACATTTTGAAATTGGAAAGTGTGAGTCCACAAATGTTGTTCTTCTTTTTCAGAATGGTCATGTTGGGTCCCTTGCAATTTCATATAAATTTCAGAGCAGCTTGTTCACTTTTGCAAAAAAAGACAATTGAAATGTTTATGGAAATCATTTCAAATCTCTATATCAATTTGGGGAACCCAGACACCTTAGTAATATTAAGTCTTCCAATTCATTAACACAAAATCTCTTTACAGTCATTTAGTTCTTCCTTAATATATTTTAACACTATTTTGTAGTTTCAGTGTATTCAGTGTACAAGCCTTTTATTGACTTTGTTTATTTCTAAGAATTTTATTATATTTGATGCTATTATAAATTAAAATTTTGTTGCATTAATTTTTGAATTTTTTAGTGTTACTTTAAAAAAGTAAAACTAATTTTGTATATTTATCTTATATCTTGCAATTTTGTTGAACTTGTGTATTAACTCTTATAGATTTTAAGGTGGATTATTTAGGGTGGTTTTTATACCATGACCATGTTCTCTTCAAATAGAAAAAGTTTTACTTCCTCCTTCTCAATTTGGATGGCTTTTATTTCTTTTTCGTCCTTAATAGTTCTGGCTAGAACATCTACCACAGTGTTGAATAATGGTGGCAAAAGTCATCATGTTTGTCTTCTCCCTGACCTTAGGGGAAAAACTTTCAGTCTTTCATTTTTTTAATGTTATGCAACCTCTGTTTTTTTCAGAAATGCTCTTTATCATGTTTAGGGAATTTTTTTCCTCTTCCTAATTTGTTGTGAGTTTTTATAATGAAAATATTGGGTTAGATTTTATCAGTTTTTTCTACATTTGAGATGATCTTGTTTTTCTTTATTTTACTATCATTTCGTATTTTATTAATAGAGCTTCATATGTGGAACAAGGCTTGCATTCCTCAGATAAATTTTACTTGGGTATCATGTATAATTCTATTGATAAGCTATTGGACTTAATTTATTTGAGTTTTGTTGAAAAGTTCTCTGTCTGTATTCATAATGGATATTGGTCTTGTTTTCTGTTTTATTTTGTTTCATGAAGTCTTTGTTTACCATTGATAGCAGAGTAATTTTGGCTTTATAAAATTATAAAATTAGTAAGTGTTCTCTTTTTTAGTATGTTTTGGTGGAGCTTAAGACTGGTTGCTTTTTATTCTTTTTTAAAGATTTCATAAAATTCAACAATGAGTTCAGCTGGGACTTTAGTTTCCTAAGTGGATAATTTTTTGGAGTCTCTTTACTTGCAGTTCTATTCAGATTTTTTATTTCTTTTTGAGTCAGTTTTGGTAGTTAGAGTCTTTCTAAAAATTGGTATATTTCATCTAGATTATAAAATTTTTTGTTATATAATTGTTTATAGTACCTCTTTAAAAGTAGTTTTATTACTTTAGGTCATCAGTAATGTCCTTTATTTAATATTTTAGTCATTTGACTTTTTCTTTTTTATTCCTTATAAGTCTAGGTAACTGTCAATTGTGCTGAAATTTTTAAAGAACTAACTTTTGGTTTTGTTGTTTCTATTTTTTATTACTTATTATATTTATAACTAGTCATTATTATTTCTTTCCTTCTTCTTGCATTATGTTTTGTTTGCTTTCTTTTGTAGTAATTAAACACTTATTTTATTGTTCTAAGAGCATTCTTTATTTTTTATGTAGAAATTGAGAGCTATCAATCTTCTTAGCACTGTTGGTCAAAAATTCCCATTAGCTTTGTTGTGTTGCATTTTTGTTTTTGTAGTCTCAGAGTATTTTTGAATTTTTAAATATCCCTTTTGATTTCTTATGTGACCCATTGATTATTTCAGAGTGTGCCGTTGAATGTACACACAGATTTTCTAATCTTTTTGTTATTGATTTCTAGATTTCATTCTATCATGGCCTAAAAACATATTCTGTGTGATTTAAATTGTTTTAAATTTATTGTTAATTGTTTTATAGCCTAACATAGTCTATCCTGAAGAATATTTCATGTTCCCTTTAGAAAAATGTGTGTTCTGCTGTTTTGTGGGGGTTGAATGTTTGACATATATCTGTTAGATCTATTTGGTTTATACCATTGTTCAAGCTTTCTGTTGTCTTTTGGATCTTCTCTCTAGTTGTTAAAACTGTTATTCCAATTGGGGTTTTGAAACCTCCAACTATGATTGCTGTGTGGATATATCTTCTTTCAACTCTGTCAGTCTGCTACATTTATTTGGGGTTCTATTATTAGTTGCATATATTGTTATATCTTCTTGATGTTTTTACCCTGGGGAGTTTAATCCATAATATCTTTAATATAATTATTGCTTAAAATGACTTAAACCTACTATTGGTATGTGAATTTTACATGTCTTCTATCATTAAAAACGTTTTCCATTAATAGATTCTTTTGTGTAAAATAGATACTTTCTACCACAGCAATTTAAAGCCAATCTTCGTTGTTTCTTTTACTTCATATTTTGAGGGTTTTTTTAGTGGTTGCCCTAAGCATTACAATAAACATTATTCATTAGCCCATTGAGAAAAATAAATATGAGTGTCTGGGGAAAAAGGCTGAGTTGCATCCACAAATGGCTTGTTCTAAACAATTAATGATTAAAATTCTCCCCTGCTGATTACACCCTTTAGTGAGCATTCACATAGGCTACAAATGTCTTCAGTTTTTCATCTGTTCTCTGTCTATTTATCCTTCCAAGCAAAAGTAACAACCAGGAAAGCTGCCTGAAGTTCTGTCTACTGGGAGAAATTTTCTTTACTAGTGTCTTTCAGAAATGCCCCAGAAAGACAGGGACTTTAGTCTGAAACTGTTGACTATTGGATGGTATCTGCATATTATGCAGAACCATCTGTGAGATATGCCAAATTTCTCTTCTTCTATCAGTTGATCATAGGAAACTCTCCATGAAGCCATAGGTACACTCTGAGAAAATGTAATTTTGCAGGAGCCGGGACCATGAGCATTAGGGCTATTCTTCATATATTAACAACTTACTTGCACTTCAGGGCCTTTTGAGCCCAATCTTATATAAATATACCACTTCCATTTCGTGATGGAGTGCTGCTGCACATGTCCGATTTTATGACTTGGTGGGGTAGAAAATACCAAGTTGATGAAGGGCAGCTAAGTTTGCACGATAACTTGGCAGCCCATAATTAAGCTTCAATCTTTACTAAGGCCCACTAGCAAACCAAAAGCTATTTATCCAAAAAAAGAATAGTTATGTACAGATGATGGCAGGTATTGTTCCAATATCCTAAGCTTCTGCACTGTAATTTGCCTATAGAGATTAGCCAAAGGCCCCAGGTATCATTCCTATCTGCCATTGAGATTTCAGGCATCATTGGATATGCTGCAGCATATGGCCCAATTAGCACAGTGGCTTGAACAGCAGTGTGAAACTGTTGTAGAACCTGCTCATGTTCTGGACTTCACTCAAAATTTGCAGCTTTTTAGGTCACTTAGTAAATGAGCCAGAGTAGCACATCTGAATGAGAAATATATTGCCTTCTCAACTCTAAAGAGGCTCACTAAGAGTTGTGATTTTCTGTCTTCTTCTTCTTTTTTTTTTCAGAAGAAAGAGCTCAATTCAACAACTTACCCTTCACCTTAGAAAGCATATCTCAACATATCCCATACTACGGTGCCCTCAAAATTTCACTGAGTTAGAAGACTCCTAAATTTTTATGAGATTTCTTTCTCCTACTCTGACATGGAAAAGTCTTACCAATAAATGTAGAGTAGTTGCTACTTGTTGCTCACCAGGTCCAATCAGGATGATGTCACTGATATAATGGACCAGTATGATAACTTGTGGAGGGATTGTGACTGAAGTCAGGAGAGTTGTTATACCCTTGAAGTAAATTAGCAAATGTGTATTACTGGCCTTTCCAGCTGAAAAGAAACTGCTTGTGGTGGTCTTTACTAAGTGATATTGAGAAAAAACCATATTCTAGATCAATAACTATATGCTAAGCACAAGCAGATGTGTTAATTTGCTCAAGCAATCAAACTATATCTGATAGAGCAGCTGAAATTGGAGTCATCACCTAACTAAGCCTACAATAATCTCAATAATCTGCTGTCATGTTCCAAGATCCATCTGTTTTAAGAACGTGATCAAATATGTATGTTGAATATAAGTGTAGTGGGAATCACTACCCCTACATATTTCAAGTCGTTGATAGTGGTATTAATAACTGAAAGCCCTCCAGAAAATGTAATATTGCTTTTGGTTTATTTTCTTAGGTAGAGGGAGTTCTAGCAGCTTTCACTTGACCTTTCTCACCATGATAGTCCTCACACCACTGGTCAGGGAACTAATGTGGACATTCTACTAGTTTTTAGTGTATCTATTGTAATTGTGGTTTCCACAACTGAAAAAATAACCACAGGATGCGTTCAGTGACCCACTGGACCTACAAGCAGGTGGGTCTGTTAAAGCTTCATTATCTCACCTCCATAAGCTCCTACTCTGACCAGTGGACTATAGAGATGTTTTCAGGTCTTTTGAATCAATGTAATTTCACAGCCAGTGTCAAGTAATTCCCCCAAAGTCTGATTATTTTCTTTTCCCTGATGCACAATCACCTGGCAAAAAGTTATAAATTCTTTTGGCGAACGACTGGGAGAAATATTAGCAGCATAAATTGTTGGCAGTATAGCAGTGTGCTTCTTCAAAGATACCTGGTCTTTCTCCATTCACGTGGTTTTGGATCTGTTAACTGGCTCAAATCTGAGAATTGGTTGAAGGGGGCATGAATCACTGTTTATATGTTTAAGTTAGTTTAAGTTGACCTAGACTTCTTTGCATGTATAAATTAAATAAGAATTTAGTGAATGCCCACTTATTTCACTTCTAGGAACATCAACAAGCAACACCATAGGTCTCTTTTAGTCATACTATTCTGATTACTGTATTAACTTTGCTGTCTATTACAGTAATAAACCTTACCTTTGGTGATTATATACCACCATTTGCCCTCTCCTACTCAGGGATTCAATTATTTCCATTGCATTTATGTGTTTTAATTCAGTGTTAGAAGTTATTGTAATTTAATGGAAGAATATTCCATGCTCATGGGTAGGAAGAATCAATATCGTGAAAATGGCCATACTGCCCAAGGTAATTTACAGATTCAATGCCATCCCCATCAAGCTACCAATGCCTTTCTTCACAGAATTGGAAAAAAATACTTTAAAGTTCATATGGAACCAAAAAAGAGCCCGCATCGCCAAGTCAATCCTAAGCCAAAAGAACAAAGCTGGAGGCATCACACTACCTGACTTCAAACTATACTACAAGGCTACAGTAACCAAAACAGCATGGTACTGGTACCAAAACAGAGATATAGATCAATGGAACAGAACAGAGCCCTCAGAAATAACGCCACATGTCTACAACTATCTGATCTTTGACAAACCTGAGAAAAACAAGCAATGGGGAAAGGATTCCCTATTTAATAAATGGTGCTGGGAAAACTGGCTAGCCATATGTAGAAAGCTGAAACTGGATCCCTTCCTTACACCTTATACAAAAATCAATTCAAGATGGATTAAAGACTTAAATGTTAGACCTAAAACCATAAAGACCCTAGAAGAAAACCTAGGCATTACCATTCAGGACATAGGCATGGGCAAGGACTTCATGTCTAAAACACCAAAAGCAATGGCAACAAAAGACAAAATTGACAAATGGGATCTAATTAAACTAAAAAGCTTCTGCATAGCAAAAGAAACTACCATCAGAGTGAGCAGGCAACCTACAAAATGGGAGAAAATTTTTGCAACTTACTCATCTGACAAAGGGCTAATATCCAGAATCTACAATGAACACCAACAAATTTACAAGAAAAAAACAAACAACCCCATCAAAAAGTAGGCGAAGGACATGAACAGACACTTCTCAAAAGAAGACATTTATGCAGCCAAAAAACACATGAAAAAATGCTCACCATCACTGGCCATCAGAGAAATGCAAATCAAAACCACAATGAGATACCATCTCACACCAGTTAGAATGGCAATCATTAAAAAGTCAGGAAACAACAGGTCCTGGAGAGGATGTGGAGAAATAGGAACACTTTTACACTGTTGGTGGGACTGTAAACTAGTTCAACCATTGTGGAAGTCAGTGTGCCGATTCCTCAGGGATCTAGAACTAGAAATACCATTTGACCCAGCCATCCCATTACTGGGTATATACCCAAAGGACTATAAATCATGCTGCTATAAAGACACATGCACACGTATATTTATTGCGGCACTATTCACAATAGCAAAGACTTGGAACCAACCCAAATGTCCAACAATGATAGACTGGATTAAGAAAATGTGGCACATATACACCATGGAATACTATGCAGCCATAAAAAATGATGAGTTCATGTCCTTTGTAGGGACATGGATGAAATTGGAAATCATCATTCTCAGTAAACTATCGCAAGAACAAAAAACCAAACACCGCATATTCTCACTCATAGGTGGGAATTGAACAATGAGATCATATGGACACAGGAAGGGGAACATCACACTCTGGGGACTGCTGTGGGGTGGGGGGAGGGGGGAGGGATAGCATTGGGAGATATACCTAATGCTAGATGACGAGTTAGTGGGGGCAGCACACCAGCATGGCACATGTATACGTATGTTACTAACCTGCACAATGTGCACATGTACCCTAAAACTTAAAGTATAATAATAAATAAATAAAAATAAATAAATAAATAAATAAAATAAAATAAAATTCTAAAAAAAAAAGAAGTTATTGTAATTTATAATCTACAAGAAGAACAACTACAGAGATCTTCAACAATGCTAGCACTACTGTCACAAATGTATTTCTTACAGTCATACTGAAAGTTGGGTCCTTTGTACCCTTCTGGTACCAATGAGCAGGTCTTGTGTGATAAGGCTACTCTAAAATTCCATTCTCCCTAAGCATTTTGATTTCCTCTTCTATAGTATGCCAAGGCAGTTCTGGAATTTCAACTTCATTTTGTGTAGACTATATTTTGGCCCATGTTTTAGCCAATCCACTAAACATATTGCTAAAGTCCTTTTTAACTCACTATGCTGCTTGTGTTGAACTATAACACTAAGTTCAGAATTTTTTCTAAGGGAGCAGATAGTAGTATATGTGGCCAAATTTATATCCATTTCACAATTATCCTCAATCCTTAATATCCATTCCCAGACATGTGCTCCATATTTCATTCTGTATAAATTGTTACATAGTTGTTTTAGATTGTAGTACGACTCTTCATGGGCCACATTTTATACCTCACCTGAAGGACCTACTGGTGTTTACATCTAGTTATGTGACTACAAGGAAACAGAAATTGTCAGGGTGGTTCCTGAGGAGAATTAGTAGTGTGTTTCAAGGCAACTACAATTGGAAAGGCCATTACAGATTCCTTGGAAAAAGTATGATTTATCCTCAGACAGAGATGGTACAGCTGCTTCTACTGGGAAGATTCAGTAGAATATAGAGGTTCATATGTGAGGAGCCTCCACTCAAGCTTTTCAGAAAAGCATTTTTAGAAAACTATTTTTCCCACTGAATGCCTTCACTTTAACAGTAAATGCTCTGCAACTTTAGAAATACAATTTATTCTGTTTTTCCACCATTTGCGGGATGAAACTCTGGGTTTTGTCTTCAGTAATCTCAGCTCTGTAGCTATAGGAGATAAAACTTTTTTACATGGAAGATATAGAAATTTTCAAGTCATTTATGCAGTGTTTGAATTGAGAATTTAAATCCCTGAGCTCATTCTTTTCTTTCCTCACTTTGTCTAGTGCAATTAGGAACAACCAGCCAATCTCATTATACTTGTTAATTTGACAGAAATGTTCAAAGCTATCAAACACTTAGTTACCTGAACTGTGCTTCTTAAAAGCGTTTGATTAGGAAAATCCAAAGATGACATCCAATTGTGACATTTAGTGCAACTCCAATGGTGACATCCAATGGTGACATTTAGTGCATCTCCATTGCCACATCATGCCAGAGATTATAAGTGCTCTCTTTACTACTTGAAAGAGAATTAAAGAGAATTATTAGTAACTTTAACTCTAATCTAATAACAAAGTTATTAGTAATATTATACCAACTTTAGAAACCCCAAAACCAATTCACAAAACCTCATCCTTAAGATTCTGTTCTGTAGGACCTTTCTTGGTACCAAAATTTATATCAGTCAAGGTTCCCCCTAGAGGCAAAATCAATAGGACACGTGTGTGTGTGTGTGTGTGTGTGTGTGTGTGTGAGAGAGAGAGAGAGAGAGAGAGAACAAGAGAGGGAGATTTTAGAATTTGCTCAGGCAATTGTGCAAAATAGCAAATCCAAAATCTGTAAGGCAGGCCATCAATCAGAAAATTCTTGCAAGAGTTAATGTTGCAGTTTTGAGTCTAAAGGTAATCCAGAGGCAGAATTCCTTTCAGGTGACCCCAGTCTTTCTCTATGGCTTACAACTGATTGAATGAAGCCCACCATCATTACAGAAGTTAATCAGTTTTACTCAAAGGCTGCTGATTAAATATTAATCATGTCTAAAATATCTCCACAGCAATATCTAGACTGATGCTTAACCATACAACTGAGATCCATAGCATAGTCACATTGACACATAAGATTAACCATCACACTTGTAACAGAACTCTGTTCAGAAAGTTTATTGTAGAAAGAACTCGGGAGAGAAATCTGTAAGGGACTAAGGTAGGCAAGATTGGGCAGAAGAAGCTGGTTGGAAATAGGGTTACAACTCTAGCAACTGCCAATCTTATAAAGAGTTATAGCTGGGAACCTCCACAGAGGTCTCTCAAACTGAAGCAAAGGGGTTGGATCTTTAAATCCTTCTATCCATTAGTCATGTGCCACAGGCTGCCCCCTGGTAACTTTGAGTGAGATAGCTTTTTCTATAGCCAAAGACGATTCTCAATGATGGATGCAGATGCAAATATACAAAAAGAAAAGAAAAAGATTTTCCTATCAGATATTGCATAAGTGTGTTCATCATTAATAGGGAATCAGTAGATAAACACAGTATATACTATAAAAGGTAAATTTAAAAATAAGGTTAATAACCAGAAGATTACATTAAATAGCATACATAAAGTTTAAAATAGACTATTGTAAAGAATGCATTTTTGTCAAGATTAATTAAATCCATTTTTATTTGTGATATGTTTTTCATTTAACAATTTATTCGAAAAAACTTAGTCTAAAATTCATAGGATTAATTTTTGCATTTTTGTTTTATATATTTGTGTTTCTACTTATCCTATTGTTTTATCACTGCTTTGTAAATATTATTTTACCTAGTCCATCTCTGCCCATAGTAGGAATAAGGGAGGGATATGTAGTGTGATGCACTACACTGGAAATTGTTTTGGAAATACCATTACAATTGATTATAGTTAGAGTCCCTTAACATAATGTTTATGTGCAGCTGCTGACCATAATAGAAAATTGGACAGATTCCTTGTCATCCCACACATTTCAGTCCCTTTACAAAATAAATAGCAATGATATTTTCTGTTCCTTAGAAATAGAAAATAGCAATGATATTTTCTGTTCCTTAGAAATAGAAAATAGCAATACTGCATCTCAAATCACAATTCTCTTTAATCAACATTGCAGCATAGTGGGGAAAAAGCTGGTAAAAAGATCAATGAGTAACATCCAGTTACAGAAAATTGAAATCCACAAATACTCTGTTCAGTGAGTGTCCTTGAGTAAATTTACTTTACACGTATTTGCAGGCTGGAAATAGAATCAATATTTTAGAATTATCATATAGCTCTGGCATTTAAAATATAGCCACACATTAGTTCTGGCTTGAAGTGAACAGTTTCGATATAGAGCATTTGAAAGATATTTACAAGAACTCTACGTTCTTTATGCAATCATTTTTCTTTAGCCAAGTTTCTCAAATAAAGACTTTCAGAAAAAGTAGGATGTTTCCTATAAAGGCACCTTAGTTGTAGTTTTTACCATACACATTTTCTTCTATATACATGTGCCTGATAGATAGCCACTGTGGGTAAAGAATGCTATAAACAGTAGAATGTTTATAATTTATCTTCATTTCTTTTTTCTGACCCTTACTTTTCACTATGCCTCCTCATAAACTGGCCCCTACACTTTTAAGACATTTTCATATTTGATAAATATCTGCATGAATGAATGAATGGAAGGCATGAATAATACATTTGAGAACATGAATACTATTTGATTATATTTCTGAATATATTTAAATTACAATAGGGCAAAAATATTAAGGCTAATAAATAAATGGCTAATTCTGCATATCAGTCATCAGATACAGTGAGAAAATATAATAGAAACAGGAGTTTTCTGCCTTCCCCATATTCCTTAAATCAAATGCATAAACAGCCAGTCTATTAAGAGGTGAGGTCATATGTACAAGAATAGGTTTTGTTTCCAAAATCTCCATAATTTTGTTGAACTCACAATTAAAGCATAAGTTAGAATGTCTACAATTTTCTCTCTTACTTTTAATTATGTTTATTTTCAAATTAAGAAACACAATTACTCTAAAACACAAATATTGAATAGGAAATCAACTATACTATTTACTGAGGAGAGGAGAAATATATTTTTTAAGTAAGGGTCTAGACGAAATAAGAAATTTTACTATTGCATAGAAATATCATTTTCATTACTAATGATTGGTTATATTTTATCTCCCCTTGAAAGCTAATGATAGTAATTTTAATTTTCTAAAGACTTGAAAACATACAATCAGAACTTTAGAACTATGTATTACTCTATCTTGACTCTTTCGTGATTAATACAGGCATTTGGGCAAATATCTAATATCTATTTATTATGTTAGATATCCCCTCAGTTGATTTGATATTATAAAAACCTTTCATCTTGCTACCAGTAGATTTTCTAAATTAGTCTGAAACATGTATTTGATTGAATCACTCTACACAAACACAAATATAACTAAAAATATTTGTAAATTGTATTCCTCTTTCAAACACAGTCAGTGTAATGATTTAAGACTGTGCCAACTTAGTTGTATTTTAACTATGTTTCCCAGCATTCTGTTCCGTGTATGATTCCAGGTTAGGTTTGCTCATGAGAAAAATCTGCATGATAAAGCAGCAGCCATGAATCTCTGCTAACTCTTGCTTGAGCCTTTGAGGCACCAGGGCAGAGTAGTCTGGCAACTCCAATTCATTCTTATTTTATAGCTTCTTTTCATCTTGTTCTAATTCTCAGTTGCTGGCCTTGCTGACCAATGATGATTCCAGCCCACCACCAAGTGTTTTGCAGCAAACTCACAGAGGGAGTAGCAACAGAGAGCCAACAACTTTGACCATGTCTTTCTTCCATTTCTATTCCAGCAGCTATAGACTCTTGTAAGCTTCATGCTGATAAGGGCTTTCCTCAGTACCTGTCTTAGCTTTACCTCCCCAGCATTTTTCTCAATTGCAGGAGGTCTAGTTTCCACTTATAAAATCTTATGCCATTTACTATTTCACGAAACTCATAGTGTTCTGTTTCCCTAATTGAACTTTAAAAAATAGAACCATGAAATACAGTGCAGGGTTGTTAGACATTGGGGAACATCTACTTAATTTTGCACATTGTGTGTGTCTATTGAGGTAGAGAGGAGGTAAAAGGGAGAGTTGTGCATCCTAGAGCGAGTATGTCAGGATAGTGATTTTGAAGTGTTTGTAATTCAGTGAAATCCTTAAAAAATCTAATTTGAGGTTATCTGTGAGTTTCTACAAGACCCACTTTCTAAGATATGTAAATATAGGTTGAGGAGCCCCAATATTCATCTATAAACTAATATGTAGATCCAAATACGATGGACATAATGCCAATAGTGTTGTTTTTCTTGGTTAACAGGAAGTATACCCTAGTCTATCCAGCAAGTTAACAGAATAGCCCTGCAGACACCATTGTCTAAAAGGCTTCTCTGAGTGCTACCCTCTAAATTAGAGTTAGCAAGCTATTTCAATATATTTTTTCAGCTTTGAGGGTCATACAGTTTATTTTGCAACTACTCACATCAGCCACTGTAGCATGTTAAATAGGCTTAGGCTGAAAATAAACTAATAGTCTTGGCCAGGTTTGTCCCATGCGGATTCCTCTAAAGGATCATTGAAGATGTCTAAACTTTTTAATCTTGAAGCCAACATTATAAGTTTTCATGAATTTCAATTGTTTAACTGTCTAGTGATAAATTATTTAAGAACGTAGAGAACAATAAAATCATCACATTTATAGAAAATAAAAAATAAACCAGGCTTTATTCTATAACATTTCTTTCCTTGACATGAATGTGATGGCTAATGCCAGAAATAAGGTCTCTAATTTGGATGAACATTTTGGATGCAAAGAAAAAGAAAATGTATAAGCAAAATTGGCCTTAGATCAAAATTAATACAAAATATCAGAGGTTGTACCACAAAATATATTAAGTTAAAATGATATAAAACAAAAACTGCCACACTGAGAAGCATATTAGGTAATTACTGGCATTCATGAGGGAAAAAGGAAATCAGTGACTAGTGATTACAGTCTTCTAATTTAGTTCATCTGTTATTTGAAAACATTTTCTTATTCAAGCTAAAAATTACAAGATTGAATAAACATTTTATTTAATTTATACCAATGCACCACATATCAGCTTTGTTTATATACATTGCTAAAAACAAAATTCATCTTCACTTGCCTGGCATTGAGTTTTTTGTTTTTTTTTTTTTTGAGACAGAGTCTTTTTCTGTTGCCTAGCCTAGAGTGCATCAGCTCACTGCAACCTCCACCTCCTGGGTTCAAGTGATTCTCCTGCCTCAGCCTCCAGAGTAGCTGGGATTGCAGCCATGTGTCACCATGCCCAGCTAATTTTTGTATTTTTAGTAGAGATGGAGTTTCACCATGTTGGCCAGGCTGGTCTTGAACTCCTGACCTCAAGTGATCTGCCTGCTTTGGCCTCCCAAAGTGCTCAGAATACAGGCATCAGACACTGCACCTGGCCTGACTTTTCAAATTTGAAGATGTTTTTAAAAATTTCTTGTATATAATACAAATTTAAGAAATACCTATATAAGTTTTCTTTTAATAATTTAGATATAGAAAATTCATTGTTTGCCCTACTCTGTGGGTTAGAGATGGGGAGAGAGAGAGTGAGCAAGAGAGTTCACCTTTTTAGTATCATATTTGTGTGAGTTTTATATTATTTCATCTTATTTCCTAAGTCTATTCTTTGAAATAACATGCTTATTTTATTATTTTTACATAACTATTAATCATCTATGATTGATCTATTTATCTATACATCTATTTATTTGTTTATCTCACTTATTATCTTTCAAACCATAATCCATCTATTACAATTCCAACGGCCAGAAAACTTTTACACAATAATTTCTTTTTCTAACCCTATCTTTTGTCTTTTTTATAAGGTTTTATATCTTTGGAAATGAGCACTGTTTTTTCTTTTGTTAATGGTGTTCCGTATTGCTGTGATTTAAATATGGTTGATTTTCACCGAAACTCATGATGAGGCTTGTTCCCCAAGGCAGTGGTGTTTGGAGCTGGGGTCTTTAACAGGTGATTATGTCATTAAAACAAGATGATTGGGTAATTAAAAGGAATTAGTGCCTTAGCCATGGAAATGAGTTCTCACTCTTGTGAGACTGGATTAGTTAGAGTGAGTTATAAAGAAAGACTGCCCTTCATGTTTGGTCTCTTGGCATAGGCCCACTTCCCCTTCTCCTTTTCCACCATGCTATTACTTTCAATGGCAAAAAACTGCAATTACTTTTGCACCAACCTAATGCAATGAACCATAAGATTCTTGCCAGAAGATGACCAGATGTAGCCACCTGATCTTGGACTTTTGCCTTCAGAATGGTGAGCTTCTTCCCTCTAGAATGTACCCAGTTTCAGGTATTTTGTTATGACAATAGAAAAAGAAACTATGACATGCTATATTTTTCTTTTAAAAATTATTTTTAATTGACATATAAAATTGTATGTATTTGTGTACAACAAAATTTGAAGTGTATCTACATTGTGAATAAATGAATCTAGCTAATTAACATATTACTTGATATCATTGTCAGTTTGGGGATGAAAACACTTAACATCCACTCTCTTACTATTTTTAAAGAATACAATATACAGTGATTAACTACAGTCACTATGTTATAAAATATATTGCTTAAATTTATTTCTCCAATCTAACTCAAATTTTGTATCCTTTATCCAACATCACTCCAACATGTCCCCCCACACCAAATACCCAAACTGTTTGTCCCCACCATTCTGCTCTCTAGCTCTATTAAATCAACTTTTTATATTCCACACACAAGTGAGAGCATGCAGTACTTGCCTTCTGTGCCTGGCTTATTTTGCTTAATATACTGTCCTCAGTTTATCCATGATGCCATAAATGGCAGAACATCCTTCTTTTTTGTGACTGAATAGTATTTTATTGTGTAAATATGCAACAAATTCTTTATTGGTTCATCCATTGATTAACTAGGTTAATTAGTTAACTTGGCTACTGTGAATAATGCTGCAATAAACAGGGAAGGGCAGACATCTCTTTGACATTCTGATTTTGTTGTCTTTGGATATATACCCAGTAGTGGGATTACTAGATTGTATGGTGGTTTTACTATCATTTTTTTGAGGAATTGCCATACTGTTTTCCATAATGACTGTGCTAATTTACATTCTCATCAATGAGGTATAAGGTTTCTCTTTTCTTCACATCTGTGATACCACGTGTTATCTCTGTCTTTTTGATAATAGCCATTCTAACAGGTGTGAGGTGGTATCTCATTGTGGTTTTAATTTACATTTCCCTGATGATTCATGAAATTGATGGTTAGTATATATACATACATACCTGTTAGCTATTTATATGTCTTCTTTTGATAAATGTCTATTCATGTTCTTTGCTTATTTTTAAATCAGGTTATTTGTTTTCTTCCTATTAAGCTATTTGAATTATTTACATATTTTCGATATTAATTCCTCATCAGATGAATACTGTATAAACACCTCTCCCATTCTGTAAGTTGTCCCTTCACTCTTCATTATTTTCTCTGCTGTGCATAGCATTTTGATTTGATAGAATCCCATTTGTCTATTTTTTACATTTGGTGCCTGTGCCTTTAATGTCATATCAAAAATTATTTCCATGACCTATTTTATGGAGCTTTTCCCCTAACGTTTTCCTCTAGCAGTTTTATAGTTTCATGTCTTGCATTCATTTTGGGTTTATTTTTGTATATGGTTTGAGATAAATGTCTATTTTCATTCCTCTACAGATGGATATTCAATTTTGTCTACATCAGTTATTGAAGAGACAATCCTTTTCCATTGTGTGTTCTTTTAAAAAGTGTTGTATTAATATATGATATTTATATGTATTTGTGGTGTACATTTGAGTATTTATTGTATGCATGGAATGTGTAATGATCAAGTCAGGGTATGTGGGGTATCCATTGCCCTGAGTAGTTATCACTTCAATGTGTTAGCAATATTTCAAGTCCTCTCTACTAGCAATTTTGAAATATATGTTAACAACAAAAGAAAAGGTGACTGAGGCAAGTATCTTGATCAGTAGAGGTTTATTGAGCCAAAGTTTGAAAATGTGCCAGCAAAAACATAAGTCATAGCAACATCTGTGACCTATGCTTTCCAAAGAGGGTTTTGGGAACTCAGTATTTAAGGGGAGACATCACACAGGAGAGAAAAACGTGAGGGGTGTAAGGTATGAGGCAAATGATTACATTCTTGTGAGGCTCTAATAAGCACTTAGTAAATCAATTATTTATATAATATAAGGTAAAAATTTAAAAAGAGGAAGTAAAGGAAAGAATCAATCATGCAGCCATCTAAGGATGAGCAGAAAAGTGATTGATCTTATCTTATCCTTGTTGTGTATCTGGGAAGATAATCCTGTTATTGGCATTGTCAGTGTGATATTTAAAATAACTTAGTTTTAGGAGTTAAACTTAAGTTGCAGACCCAAGATTACATCTGGCCAGTGCTTGTTTTGTAGGGTGATATATATCCTGAAAGATTTTAGGGTCTAACAGGGAATTTCCTTGTGAGCAATTTGTGAGGGAGGCCTTTTGTTGTTGTGGAAATCTTGCATATGTATAATGCTATGACAGAGGGTTGTAAAATTACAGCTCTCTGACTGGGGAATAAGAATGGCAATGTTGCACGATTCAGTTCTCAGGCTTAAGTTGTCCCTTTGCATGAAAATTATGGGGGTCCCCATATTTCCTTTTCTTTTTTACTTGTACAGTTTGTTGTTAACTGTAGTCACCCTACTCTACAATCAAACATTGAGACTTGTTCTTTCCGTCTAATGGTATGTTTGTTTACCTTAGCCAAATTCTCTTCAAATCCTGCACACAGACACACCATTCCCAGCCTCTGGTAATTATCATTCTACTCTCTACTTCTATTAGATCAATTATTTTAGCTCCCACATGTGAGTAAAAACATATTTGTCTTTCTGTGCCTGGGATACTTCACTTAATATAATGATGTATAGTTCCATCCATGCTGCTGCAAATGATTGCACTTGATGTTTTTTATAGCTGAATAGTATCCCATTGTATATATACAAACATGTATATATATAATACGTACACAAACATACACAGACACACACACACATATATATACACCACATTTTTTAGTCTATTCCTTCATTGATGGAAATTTAGGTGATCTCATATCTTTGCTGTTATGAATAGTGCTGCAATAAACAAGCAAGTGCATGAATTCCTTTTTTTTGTACTGATTTTCTCTCCTTAGGATAAATACCTAACAGTGGGTGTATTAGTCCGTTTTCATACTGCTGATAAAGACATACCTGAGACTGGGAAGAAAAAGAGGTTTAATGGACTTACAGGTCCACATGGCTAGGGAAGACTCACAATCATGGTGGAAGGCAAGGAGGAGGAAGTCACATCTTACAGGGATAATAGCAGGCAGAGAGAGAGCGCTTGTGCAGAGAAACTCTCCTTTTTAAAACCATCATAGCTTGTGAGATTTACAGACTATCATGAGAATAGCACAGAATAAAATAGGCCCCCATGATTCAATTACCTCCCAATGAGTCCCTCCCACAACATGGGAATTCTGGGAGATACAATTCAAGATGACATTTGGGTGGGGACACAGCCAAACCATACCATTCCACCCCTGCCCCCCGCAAAATCTCATGTCCTCACATTTCAAAACCAATCATGCCTTCCCAACAGTCCCCCAAAGTCTTAACTCATTTCAGCATTAACTTAAAAGTCCACAGTCCAATGTCTCATCTGAGACAAGGCAGGTCCCTTCCGCCTATGAGCCTGTTAAATCATAAGTCATAAGCAAGTTAGTTACTTCCTAGATACAATGGGAATACAGGCCTTTGGGTTAATACAGCCATTCCAAATCGGAGAAACTGGCCAAACCAAAGGGACTACAAGCCCCATGCAAGTCCAAAATCCAGCAGAAAGTCAAATCTTAAAACTCCAAAATTATCTCCTTTGACTCCATGTCTTGCATCCAGGTCATGGTGATGTAAGAAGTGGGTTCCCATGGTCTTGGGCAGCCCCACCCCTGTGGCTTTGCAGGGTGCACTCTCCTTCCCAGCTGCTTTCACAAGCTGGCATTAAGTGTCTGTGGCTTTTCCAGGTGCAGGTTGCAAGCTGGCAGTGGATGTACCATTCTGTGGTCTGGAGGACAGTGGCCCTCTTCTCACAGCTCCACTAGACAGTGCCCCAGTAGGGCTCTATGTGGGGGCTCCAACCACGCATTGCTCTTCTGCCCTGCCTTAGCAGAGGTTCTCCCTGAGAGCCCCACCACTGCAGCAAAATCCTGCCTGGACATCCAGGCATTTCCATACATCCCCTGAAATCTAGGTGGAGGTTCCCAAACCACAATTCTTGACTTCTGTGCACCCACAGGCTCAACACCATGTGGAAGCTTCCAATGCTTGAGGCTTGCACCCTCTGAAGCCACAGCTTGAGGTGTACCTTGGAGTCCTTTAGCCATGGTTGCAACAGCTAGGACACAGGGCACCAAGTCCCTAGGGTGAACATAGCAGGGGGGCCCTGGACCTGGCCCAGGAAACCATCTTTTCCTTCAAGGCCTCTGGGCTGTGATGGGAGGGGCTGCTGTGAAGTCCTCTGACATGTCCTAGAGACATTTTTCCCATTGTCTTGGGGATTAACATTCAGCTTCTTGTTACTTATGCAAATTTTTGCAACTGGCTTGAATTTCTCCTCAGAAAATGGGATTTTCTTTTTTATCACATTGTCAGGCTGCAAATTTTCCAAACTTCTATCCTCTGCTTTTGTTATAAAATTGAATGCCTTTAACATCATCCCAGTCACCTCTTGAAGCGGCTTTGCTGCTTAGAAGTTTCTTCTACCAGATGCCCTAAATTACCCCTCTCAAGTTCAAAGTTCCACAAATCTGTAGTGTAGGGACAAAATGCCGCTAGTCTCTTTGCTAAAACATAACAAGAGTCACCTTTGCTCCAGTTCCCAAGAAGTTTCTCATTTCCATTTGAGACCACCTCAGCCTGGATTTTATTGTCCATATCACTATCAGCATTTTGGACAAAGCCATTCAACAAGTCTCCAGGAAGTTTCAAACTTTCCCACATTTCTCTGTCATCTTCTGAGCCCTCCAAAAAGTTCTAACCTCTGCCTGTTACCCAGTTCCAAATTCACTTCCATATTTTGGGGTATCTTTTCAGCAACACCCCACTCTACTGGTGTCAATTTACTGTATTAGTCTGTTTTCATGCTGCTGATAAAGACGTACCCGAGACTGGGAAGAAAAAGAGGTTTAATGGACTTACTGTTCAACATGGCTGGGGAAGCCTCACAATCATGGCAGAAGGCAGGGAGTAGCAAGTCATGTCTTAGATGGATAGCAGCAGGCAAAGAGAGAGTGTTTGTGCAGGGAAACTCCTTTTTTAAAACCATCACATCTCATGAGACTTATTCACTATTAGGAAAATAGCACAGAAAAGACCACCCCCCATGATTCAATTATCTTTTACTAGGTCCCTGACACAACACGTGGGAACTGTGGGAGATACAATTCAAGGTATCTTGAATTTTGATGGGGACACAGTCAAATCATATAAGTGGGTTTACTAAATTTTATAATAGTTTCCATTTTTAGTTTTTTGAAAAATCTTCATACTGTTTTCCATAAAGGCTGTACTAATTTATATTCTTACCCACAGTGTAGAAGAGTTTTGTTTTCTCCACCTCCTTGCCAGTATTGTTATTGTTTGTCTTTTTCATAGTAGCCCTTCTAACTGGGGTAAAATGCTATCTCATTGTGCATTGCATTTCTCTTATAATTAATGATATTGAGCATTTTTTTCACATACTTGGCCATTTGCATGTTCCTTTGAAAACTGTCTATATATGACCTTTGCCAACTTTTTAGTGGGATTATTAGTGATTTTGCTGTTGAGTTGTTTGAGTGCCTTGTGCATTCTGGATACTAGCCTCTTGTCTATGTGAATTGTTTGTAAATATTTTCTTCCACTTAACAGGTTGTCTCTTCACTCTGTTGATTGTTTTCTTTGTTATGCAGAAGCTTTCTAGTTGAACAGAATCTCATTTGTCTATTTTTGTTTATGTTGCCTAAGCTTCTGGTGTCTTAGTGATAAAAACTGTGCCTAGATCAATATCTTATAATATTTTCCCATTGTTTTCTTTCTAGTAGTTTTATAGTTTCAGGTCTTATGTTTAGGTATTTTAGTTAATTTTTGTATCCATATAGAGTGAGGGGTGTAGTTTTATTATTCAGCATATGAATATCCAGTTTTCCCACACCATTTATTGTAAAGGGTTCATTTATTTATGTATGTTCTTAATGTCTTTGTCAAAAATCAGATTTTACAATTGGCTGTAAATAAGTGAATTTATTTATGGGTTCTCTACTCTGTTCCATTGTTCTGTGTTTCTGTTCTTATGTCAATAACAAGCCAATTTGATTACTATAGCCTCTAATATATTTTGAAGTCAGGTAGTGTGTTGTCACATCATTTTTCTTTTTGCTCAGGATAACTTTGGTTATTTAGTCTTTTTTATGGTGCCATATAAGTATTAGGAGTTTTTTTTTTTCTGTATCTGTGAAAAATGACATCAGTGTTTTGATAGGAATTGCACTGAATTTGTAGATTTGTTTGTGTAGTATGGTCATTTTTGCAATAGGAATTGCATTGAATTTGTAGATTTGTTTGTGTAGTATGGTCATTTTTGCAATATTAATTCTTCAGATCCATGAGCATAAGATGTTTTTCCATTTTTTTTTCTCTCCAATTGTGTGATCTTAAGAACCTTCCAAAGAATTAGTTGGCTAAAGATATATAAATTTATTTCTGGGCTTTCTATTCTATTTCATTAGTCTATATTTTTCCTTTTTTTTTTTTAATGTCAGTTCCTTGCTCTTTTGACTACTGTACCTTTGTAGTATATTTAGGAGTCAGATAGTGTGATGTCTGCAGCTTTGTTTTTATTTTTATTATTTTTTCTCAAGATTGCTTTTGTCATTTGGAGTTTTGTGGTTCCATATGAATTTTAGGATTTTTTTTCTAGTTTTGTGAAGACTGTCGTTGGTAACTTGGTAGCGATTACATTGCATCTGTAGATCATTCTGAGTAGTATAAACATTTTAATAATGTTAATTACTTCAACTCATAAACACAGGATATCTTTCCATTTATTTCTGTCTTTAATTTTTAAAAAATATTTTATAATTTTTATTGTAGAGATATTTAACTTCCTTAGTTAAATTTATTTCTAAGTATTTCAATTTTTGTTAATAATGTAAATAAAATTATTTTGTTAATTTACATTTTAGATAGTCTGCTCTTAGTGTATAGAAACACTACTGATTTTTGTAAGTTGATTTTGTGTCTTACAACTGTACTGAATTTGTTTATTAGGTGCGTAAATTTTCAGGGGTATCTTTAGAGTTTTTTATAAATATGATATTGCTGTCTGCAAACAGGAAAAATTTAACTTCTTGTTTTCCAACCTGGGTGTCTTCTACTTCTTTTTCTTGCCTAATTGCTCTTGCTAGGACTTCTAATACTATGTTGAACAGAAGTGGCAAGAGTAATGTTCTCCCTTTTAAGTCAGAGCTAAACAAAGGGTACACAGGGACATAAAGATGGAAACAATAGACACCAGGGACTCCAAAAAGGGGGAGGGTGGAAAGCACGTGAGGGTTGAGAAATTACCTATTGGTATAATAGTCCCTATTTGGAGGATGCATACACTAGAAGTCCAATCTCCACCATTACACAATATGTCCATGTAAAAGACCTGCACATGTACTGCCTGATTTTTTAAGTGACAAGAGTAGACATCAATGTCTTATCTAGATCTTAGAGAAAAAGCTTTTAACTTTTTCCTGTTGAACATTATTTTAGCTGTGGGTTTGTCATGTATAGCCCTTATTGTGTTGAGTTTATCCCTTCTGTGCCTAATTTATTGAATTGTTTAATCATCAAAGAATGGTTAATTTTGCCAAATGTTTTTTCTTCATTTACTGAAATGATTATATGGTTTTGTCCTTCATTTTGTTAATGGGATGTATTACATTTATTGATTTATTTGTATTAAACCATCGTTGTAACAATAGAATGAATCCACTTGATCATGATGAATGATATTTTCAGTGTGCTGTTGAACCCAGGTTGCTAGTATTTTGTTGAGAATTTCTGAATCTAGCTTCATCAAGGATATCATCAGGGATACCAGCCTGTAGTTCTCTTTTTTACTGTGTCCTTATCTTTTGTTAGTATCAGGATAATGCTGGCTCCATAAAATGTGTTTGGAAGAATTCCTACCTCTTTAATTTTTTGTAAGAGTTTGGGGGAAAATGCCATTAGTTATCTTTAAAATGAGGTCAGGAGATCAAGACCATCCTGGCTAACATGGTGAAACCCCGTCTCTACTAAAAATACAGCAAATAAGCTGGGTGTGGTGATGGGCGCCCATAGTCCCAGCTACTTGGGAGGCTGAGGCAGGAGATTGGTGTGAACCTGGGAGGCGGAGCTTGCAGTGAGCCGAGATCGTGCCACTGCACTCCAGCCTGGGTGACAGTATAAGACTCCGTCTCAAAAAAAAAAAAAAAAAAAAAGTCAGGTAGAACTCAGTAGTAAAGCCATCAGGTCCTGGGTCTTTTTATTACTTATTCAATTTCATTACCCTTTATTGCTCCATTAATATTTTCTCTTTCTTCATAAGTGAATCACAGTAGGTTGTATGTGTCTGGTAATTTGTCCATTTCATCTAGGTTACCCAATTTATTGGTATATAATTGTTCATAATGGTCTCTTATAATCCTTTGTATTTCTATTGTTTCAATTGTAATGTCTCTTTTTTCATATCTGATGTTATTTGACTATTCTCTTTTTCTTAGTATTAACTAACTAAAGTTTTGCCAATTGTGTTTATCTTTTGAAAACCAGCTTTCAGTTTTATTGATCTTTTCTATTGTTTTTCTAGTCTCCATTTCACTTCTTTCTGCCCTGATATTTATTATTTCTCTCCTTCTACTGAATTTGGAATTAATTTATTCTTGTTTTTCTAGTTCCATCATTTGAGTTCTTTATTGGAGATTTTTCTTGTCTTTTGATGTGGTTGTTTATTGTTATAAACTTTTCCCTTTGAACTGCTTTAATATATCCCATAAGTTTTGGTATGTTTCCATTCTTGTTTACTAAAAAAACTTTTAAATTTTTCCTTTTATTTCCTCACTGACCTACTGGCTTTGAAATTAATAAATATGTGTCTCTGGTAAAGTATGTAGATCATAAAAATGTATGTTTTTCTATTTTTATATTCATTTTGAATGCCAAAACAAGAACACATTGCTATTATGAATGTGTTAATGATAACATACAATGTTTTTATTCAGTATCTTTATTTATATACGTAAAAATCTGTCAGTAACTTATTGAATGAAAACATAATTCTATGTATGTGTCAATTTTCAAGTAAAAGTTTCAAATGTTGTTTTAAAAAATCTGATTTAAAATTATTCCTCTTGTAATCTTTATATTTACCTTTTCTTTTGTGTATTTTTATATGAAATTGGTCTTAATAAACTTGGAGTTTTGTTTTTTGTATACCTAAAAGAATTTAACTCAATCCTCAGAAATAGGGCATTAAATCGTAAATCTGCCAAAAAAAATTTGATTCCTGCTAGACATTCTTGAATTTAAATAATTGTTCAGGTACTATCTTCCAACATTCAACATATTACTGAAGGATAGCCTTCTGACAAACAGTAAAATGAAGTCACATATTTTGGCAAACTGTGAAAGGAGGAAGAACTTCAAGTGTTTTAAACACATTTTATTATTTGAGAATATTTGGCACCAGTCATTTTTGTGCTATTTCTTTTCTTGTAGAAAGGAAGAAATTTGTAGGTGTTTGCAGCTTTCTCAAGGTCACTCCACTGATACATATATCTATATATATTTATATATGTATGTAAAGAATATACATATATTTATCTATATAAAGAATATATATAAAGTATATATATATATTTATATTCTTTTTACAGTAGAACCTCATATATTTTGATTTCCAAGAACAAAACAAAGCAAAGCAAAAGGATTTCAAGCCTTAGTATAAGTACCCAAAGATTGGTGTTAGGTCCATTACCTGGCCCCACTTCTCAGAACTTCTTAACTTTGTTGCTTTTAAATTTATTTAACAATGACAATAATGCCAGTAAACAGAACTGGGGTAAAGAGAATTGAGCATGTCTTGGATTTAGTGGAATTAACTCCAGAAGGAATTGCAACATAGAGAATGAGTCAAGGCATTTGGGTTGAGATCAAATTTTAATCCTTTGAAACTTAGGGCCAGGACAAGGCCTCTGCAAAATGGTCTGGACCTGAAGAGTTATAAAACAGTGTATGAGATGGTGCTATAATGAAGTCCAGACTATGGATTTGAAGGTATAAGGAGGCAAGGTTGGAAGAAAGCATAATTCACAAATTATTCTCAGGTCAGAGAGATACAGGACTCAAAACATAAAAACATATGCCTATGGAATGTGGAATAAATATTATTTGAAGTGAAATTTTGAACACCTTCTTTTATGGCTTGACTTTAATTTGAATATATAAAAAGCAGTTGTATTAAAGTAAGAATGCCATTAATCTATTTTTGGACTTACATTTGTATTACTCTTTAGTTATGATGAAATTAGGTTAATAGACTTTGTTCTATTCCCTCTCAAGTGACATTTCTGTAATACTGTAAGATCAAATGAGTAAAACTATGAGAATGATGAATATTTATTTGTCAAGTTGTTTTTTCCACTATTACATTTTTCAAAAATATAACTTTCCTCCAATGGAATATTATTGTCACTCACTAAAGTTCTTGTGCTCCAAATCCTTTACATATTGAATAATATCCCCTATCTGGTACTTTTGATACATCAAGGAATCTTCAATGGCTTCAAGATACATTCTTAAGTTATTAAAATATGACATATTTTAATTACTGTAAACACTAAATAAATGGCAGAAAAAATACTTTTGTAAGAGTAAAATGCAGAGAAATAGATGCAAAGATAAAGAGCAACCTAAAAATGATGATGTTATTTGATTTGACACTTTGTTTGTTAGTTATATGGTTAGTTTATTTGGTTGGTTTATATGTGATTGTTATCTCATATGGTCTCTTAAAAGTTTATTAGTACAAACACCATAAAATTATACATAGCTATAGAAAGTTTTAACAGTAGAAGCAGACATGTCAGGTATAGAATTATTGTAATTGCTTGCAAAGTCTGTGACTAAGGACTTACACAGCATTGTGTTGAAGCCTACTCAGACCATCTCATCTTTTCCATACTCCATGTTCAATAATGTCAGGATGGCAGCTTGGAAGTGGCCATCATGTGAGGATTTACACTACAAAAATTGACAAATGTTAAAAAATCAAGACTTTATTTAAAAAATTTTTTTGAGTGTGATTATTAAATATTTATTATTTATTAGTGTACCAATTAGATTACCTGTTGAGATTAATGTTATATAAACGATTTAACTTTTTTTAGAGCTAGTTAAATATTATTTTACTTGTTGCTACATTTGGTGTATATTAGGAATATAAAGCAGCTTTCAATTAAGCATGTAAAGCTATGTATTAAAAGAGTCAGTATGACACTAACTTATCTAAAGACTAGTGTCAATAACACAAAATTTTTAAAGTACTACTTAAAATTCCTTATGCCAAAGTAATTATATACTTTATGAAAACAAATGTAAACATGTGTGAGTTGGTTTCTTCATAAATGTCTTTTGAGAAAAGTAAGTCATCAAACCTCTGCTGAGTAATTCTGACTTAAGTGTTATTTAATGAAAATGTCGTCTCTGGATGTGTTCGTGTTTTCTATAAGATATTCTATCAGACTCATAGGTGAGTAAACCTTTAATGGTTTAATCTGCAATGGTGAAAGAATAAAAAGTTGGCTGAATCTTGAAGGGAGCCAAATTTGGAAAATCAGTTGAAGTATGATTCAATCTACATTATGCACTTTTCCTCTCAACATTTTGTCACTTATATTGTTGAAAGGGATCTGGTGATTTTGTTTTAATTTAACACTTGAAATAGTTCCTTCTTTCAATCTTTGCTGTTTTTGTTCTTAAAGTAATTTCCGTTTTTAAATGTAGAAGTAGCATGTTTGATATATCCTACTTAAAAATTATATTTTACATTCTATGTGAACACACAGGTTTAATTAAGTGAAACCTATCTATTCAGTAATATGTAGGTCACATGGAACTATGGAGTGTATTGCTTATTTTAAATATAAAGAGCTAGTCTATGTTTTATACTTTATCCAGGAATTTTAGATCTTTCTAAACATTTACTATTATCATTAATTTGTTGCTAGTATTATGCTTGTGTATACATAACTCTATCCCATATGAATTCTGTGTTGAATTAAAAATTAGTACAAATGGTTTAAATAAATAATGTACACAATATCTTATGTAGTGTTAAATTTTACTCATATATAGTAAACATAGACTCTAATTTATCGTAAAAATCAATAAGCGTACATCATGAAAAATTAATTAAAATCCATGGAGTGAAGCACAGTATTCACTGGCTAGCAAGAGAGGTAGAAACATGCTGAAGAAGAAAGTCGAGCAAGTGTAGTGACTCAGCTGATGTTCTCCACTGAAAGAAATGGGTTTTAAGCTCAATGAAATGAAAGATCCAAAACCTTAATATATCTCTCACGGTCGGACTAGGATGCATCCCAATAGCATGACTTTTAAAACTGCAGAACTTAAATAAGATGAAAAATGCTTATTAAGCTCTTTAGATCAAATTCTAGATTTCCTAAATCCCCTGTAAAGCGATTATGAAGTGTCTCTTAAAGTGAGAGCTGTTTTAGAATTAAGGAGATAGAGCATTTGCCTAACTGCATTGCAGCAAAATTAGCGATACTGGGAAGAGCATAGTTGTCCCAGCAATCATCAGCTGTTTTCTTGATTTTCCCAGAATTTGTGATCTACAGGGTCTTTTTCACATGTATTCATTATTGTTGCTTTCTAAATGCTACATTAACAACATATTTTTCTTAGATTCTGCTAGCTAGAGTTAGACAAACTTTTAATAAACTAGATAAGAAAGGCGTAATGGAGAATTCCTCTGCAGAACTTCGGACTAATTTCCCTCAACTTTTGCTTTCTTTTTCTGGCCTCACAATCAGCCCATCCCCTCCCAGTTCAGCCCTATAAATTAGAAACACTTTTATCTGAAGCTGTCAGCTCAGTTCTTCAAAGATAACTTCCAAACTAGTCAGCCTTATCTATAGGGAGGGGCAGGGAGTGGCCTGGAGCACTAATATGTTTTTCAAAGATCACTCAGAACATGGTGAGAGTATTAGCCTGTGACAAGAGGAAGCGAGTCTTGTCAAATTTGCTCCAATTAAATGGTACAGACTTCTCTCAGAACAGCTTCTTTCTGTTGGGAGTACAGTAATGTTTGGTGACTTTATTCCTCAGGCTAATGCTGGATTTTTCAGACGTGCCAGAAGAAAGAAGATTTAAAAAAAGATACTCATTCCTGTCGTGTCAGGATTCAGAAATTCGCTGCCAACGCAAGTCAGGTTGTGCTTAAGCAAGCTTTCTTAGTAAATGATCCTAAGAAAAGAGAAAGCTCAAGCTTTTGCATTACCCTCAAGAGAACCAAAGCCATTACACTGATCCAGTCATCTTTGACTCAATAGACCTCTTACTAGTAAAGGACTGCAGTTAAATTTATTTAAGATTGATTCGTTTTACTCTATTGAATTTAAGATATTTAAATATGCACAGAATTTCTAACTTAAAAAAAAGTTGTTCCTAGAATGTATTAGACTTCCAAAGAACTAAGTGAATCTTCACTGACATAAACTGTATTTTAAGCATGTGACCATAACTTTCCATTTGCTCAGGACTGCTAGGTGAAGGAAAGCTAGTATTGATCAAGCTTTTAAAGCTCTTCTTTTAATTTAGGCAACTAGAGTCAACACTACTTATCAATTGCAAATTTTATTCATCTTAAAATACAGCTGAGGTAAAATATAATCTATTTTCTTAACTGTATGTAGTGGTAGTAATAGAAGTTGCAAACAAACTTTTACTCCTAATTATATAATTTGATACTGAATTTATAAAGTCAAGAATTTGTAAGAATCAATAGTTCAGATAAGAAATATCAGTTCCAATAATAGGTTGGCACATTAAGAAAAAAGTTTGGAATGCTTTAATTCATAATAGAATGCTTATGGAATATATTTTAATCTAACCTTATAAAATACCTAAAAATGTACTCACTATTTTTAAAATATTATCAAATGTGGATGTAAAGAGTCAAACTCTGTAAAATATTATAAGAGATTCATTCTGAGCCAAATATGAGTGACCATGGCCCATGACACAGCCCTCAGGGAGTCCTGAGGACATGTGCCTAAGGTGGTCGGGGTACAGCTTGGTTTTACATATTTTAAGGAGGCATGAGACATCAATCAAATACATTTAAGAAATACATTGGTTTGCTTCAGAAAGGCGGGACAACTCAAAGCGGGGGCTTCCAGGTTATTGGTAAATTTAAACATTTTCTGATTGATAGTTGCTTGAGTTTATCTGAAGACCTGGAACCAATGGAAAGGAATGCTCAGATTAAGATAAAGGATTGTGGAGACCAAGTTTTACTGTCCAGAGGAATCTCTCAGATAGCAGACTTCAGAGAGAGAGCAGGTTGTAAAATGTTTATCATCAGAACTGAAAGGGTGCCTGACTCTTAGTTGATTATCTCCTGGATCTGGAAAGAAAGGAAGGAAAACAAAGGGGAAAGGGGCTTCTCTATAGGATGTAGATTTTTCCCACAAGAGACTTTGCAGGGCAATTTCAAGATATGACAAGGGAATATATTTTGGGGTTAAATATTTTTTCCTTGTCTCATAATGTTATGCAAGAGTCAGATGGAAGAGTAAGTCATGATATATACGGTCAAATAAAACCCATCTGATGAGAATTTATGGTTTGTAGGGCATGACTCCCTAGACCCCTTTGGTAGGAATTTGTGCAAGATAAAAAATCAGAGCTTAGTCCTCACGTACATTTTATTATACTAAAAATTGTACTAAAAATTAAAGGTGCTTAAAACAACAATCATTTATTTGCTCCTATTTCTGAAATTTTGGTGGTGCTCATTAGGAATGGCTTCCCTCTGTTCTGTATGGACTGACACTGGGGCTAGAGTTTTTAAGATGGCTTCTTTACTCGTATGTCTTTGCCTCAGTTGGAATGACTAGAATAGCTCAGAACTGGTTGGGCATCCTCTCTCTCTCTCTGTCTCTCTCTCTTTTTTTTTTCTCTCTCTCTCTCTGCATGACCTCTCCATGTGACTACCTTTGGTTTTCTCACAGCATGGTGGTTTTGCAACTTCTTCCATGCTGCCATGATTACCCCAGAACACAAAGTTGGACACTATTAAGCTTTCTTAATGCTTGGTTTTAGAAGTCTCAGAATGCCATTTCCTTTGAGTTCTATGGGTCATAATAATCACAGGGACAGCACATTTTCAAAAAGAGATGAAATGGACTTCATCTCTTAATTGGGGAATGTCAAGGTCACATTGCAATAGGGCATGTGGAATGGGAGTTATTGTTGTGCCATTTTAGGAAACATGATCTGCCAAACTCTTTCAAGTCAACTTCTATGGAACATGAGAATTCACCCTAGAATAGCTGAGTGCTAGGGAGACAAACGTGACTTACTGACAAAGCCTGCATTGTTAGAGGGAAAATTCAGAGCACAGCATGAGGTTTGTCATTAAGATTTGTCTAATATATATATATATGTCTACGCTTCTAGACTTTGGAAAATATCAAGAGATTTGAAGGTGAATCAGTTTCCACCAAATAAAAATACTCCAATCAGATCTGAAAGGCAAAAGATGAGACAGAGCCAATCTTGCTACACTTTCATATTTTTCCCTCTCATTTGCAGGAATAAAGTTATTGGGGAATTTGCAGAAGCTTCCCAGTCCACAATCACTGGCTTTGACAATGCTGAGAGTCATTTCGGGTTACAGAGGCAGTGTCTTCCTGATCCCCAGATCATACTTGGTCATACTTAACGACAATATGAAATTGATGTCCGGAGTCCCAGTGATAGCCTCCTAATTCCAACTTCCTGGTCAGGAACTTCCCCTGAAGGTTAATTTCTTGGAGATTTAGTCTGGAATCTACTTCTTTAGCCCTTCCAATAAATTGTTACAATCTAATCTTTCAGTAGTAAATTTCTTTCTGCTTAAAATAGCTGAAGTGGTTTCTCCATCCTGTAGCCCCATCCTGCCTGAGACAGCCCATCTGTGATAGATGTCACCAGGGGAAGGAAGTTCTAGTAACAGGAAGGGCACTACCATGCAAAAGCAGCACAGTACCCACTAAGGCAGCTGTCCTCATGGAATAGAATAAAAATGCTCAAGACAAACAGCAGAAGCCTGTGTGGGTAGCTGATCAGATTTGCTCTTTGAGCTCCTATGAGATGGCTCAAAGAGATTTCCACAAACATCTGTTAGGAGACTGCACTGTTAGGAGACTACACATCAGTTAAATAAAGGTGTTGTCTTTCTTGAATAAGCTCTCTTGAATCCCATCTGAGAAGCTGAGAAGTGGGTGGAGTCTGTGACATTTTGACTTTGTTCTACGTATATTTTTAAATACTATCTTTATTAAAGTGTTATTGACATAGTAAACTGCATATGCATAAAGTATACACTTTGGTAAATTTTTGCATAAGTATGCCTACTGAAACCATCACTAGGATCAAAATAATGAATATATCCAAGCTTCCCAACAGCTATCTCATGGTTCTTTGGAATTTTTTTCTCATGTCCATCTCTGTCTTACTCCCTTTCTTTTACTCTAGTACCAATAACAACTGATCTGCTTTCTGTCATTATAGATTAGATTGACATTTCCAGAGTTTGAGATATTTCAAAACATATAGTACCTGCTCTTTTTTTTCTCTGCTTCTTTCACTAGGCATAATTATTTTGAAATTTAACCTGTTGTTGCATATATCCACAGTTTATTCACTCTTATTGGTAAGTAGTATTCTGTCATACGGATTTAGTATACTTAGCTTATTTATTCACTTGTTGACAGCCATTTGGGTAATTTCCAGTATAGGACTATAATATATAACACTGCCATGAATATTCATGTAAAATCTTTGTATGCATATTCATTTCTCTTAGGTAATTATGTTCCAGTGGAATGACTGGCTCATATAGCAGATATCTGCATTTCCACTTACAGCCTATGGGTTGTACATTCCCACTAAAATTTTTTACTTTTACAAATATAAAAACTGAAATCTAACTAATACTAATTTGACATTTTTTCCATTTATGTGTCATACACATACATACTACACACATATATACATATGTTTTTATAATTAATACTACATAAAATTTCACATGGATTTTACTAAATTGGCATACAGTTTATTTATGTTTGCATGTCAACAAAGAGAAAATTATTATAATCTGCTTTTAGGATTTTTCATTGTGTAATATCAAGCATTGAAAGAAAGATAAAGTATGCTGTTTTATACACTGTTGATTTATAATTTGAGATTCAGATATTTAATACACATTTTAAAATAATGATAACGTATGGCTTAGTGTTTAATGATGTGTGAAAATAAGGACTATGATGTCAGTGTGTTCACCTTATTAACATACCTATTTAGGTCCTCTCAATAGAACATGGCTTCAATGATGGAAAACATAATTTACTGAGGGCAAAATGGGAAGATATTTGTAAATAAGGGAAAGGCTAGGAAACTATAATTTTTTGGTACTACTTGTTTTAAAATGTAAGACCTAGTGGTATATTTCACATCCTCAAAAAAAGAATCTTTTCCTTTTTTTTTTTTTTTTTTTTGTTTTGAGATAGGGTCTCACTCTGTCACCCAGGCTGGAGTTCAGCAGCGTGAACATGGCTCACTGCAACCTCTGCCTCCCAGGCTTAAGCGATCCTCCCACCTCAGCCTCCTGAATTATTTGGGCTACAGGTATATGCCACTACTCCTGACTAATTTTTAATTTGTGTGTGTGTGTGTGGAGGCAAGGTCTCCCTCTGTTGCCCAGGCTGCTCTCAAACTGCTGGACTCAAGTCATCCTCCCACCTTGGCCTCCCAAAGTGGTGGGATTACAGTCAGGAACCACTGCACCTGAACCTGTTCCTTTTTTTAACTCTACATTTTCACTGGTTCTTTTCTTCTCTTTGTTAATATTTTAAATTATTTTACTATCTCTTCAGATTAAAAAACAAATAAGATTTCACACATACCTTTGTCATTTTCCCAAGTATCTGAAATTTTTCACAAAATTTGATACTGCCATTAGCGTGTTACTATATTTCATTTTTAGTCCTTTTAGTTGCTGTTGCCATGTGGTTTGATTTTTTAAAAGTTAAAAAATGACAAGAAATCAAGAATGGAGGAAAGTTTTTTTAAAAATGATAGTGTTACTCTTTATATATAAAATAGCCACATTGATACTTTCAGCGGAAAGTGTTTATTCAAATGCATAGTAAAAGCAAAAGTATTTTAAAAATTCAGTTTTGCTAGTTGGTACATTTAACTCTGATCATACAGAAAGTATTACAGCTTTCAACATGATTTCTCATCCTGAATTTGCTTACTAAATTCAAATTGATTGTATAATAGTACATTTACTTTATTGATTACTTGCCCAGTTATGCTAAAAGAATATGCATTCTGCTTCTTAGAATCACTCTATTGAGATCTCCTTATCAGACCCCTGCAGAATGTGCCTAAAACACAGTAGACTTGAATAATTTGCTGTTTTGTAATATGCAGCAAACAGAGACCCCAAAATCTCTTCCCTTATTGTGCTTACAGAAGTAAGAATCTCTGAGGATTTGATCTTCGTTTCTGAAGTTCAGGTCTCTCAATCATACCAATAACAAGAATGCCTCCGTTTGTCTACATTACAAAGATAATCAGAATCAAATCACATGAAATCATTGAAGTAACAGTGCTAGTTTACCTTCAAACTACTATAAAATATGTTATAATTTAAGGACATTATCGGGGTTTATGTATGGTTTTCTGCTTCAGAAAAAGCTAGGGGAAGACTTCAATTCAATTTTTAGAATTGAATTATGTGTACAGAGAGAGATACAGAATGGCATCCTCAGTACATCTCTTTTATTAGCTCTTTATTATATTTGTCAGTTTTATCTTGATGTCCAGTAATAAATGCAGTCTTTAAAAGAAATGCAATAGGAAGAAACATTGTTATTATCAACAATTAGCCTCAGCCATTTGACTGGCATTGCACTTGCTATAACTCTGATTTGGGGCTTTCGGTAATGCCATCTAAATACAAATACTCTAAATGCAAACAATGTAGCTTTATAGGAAGAATATTTCATTTTATGACAAATGCAAAGAACACAAATATGTTGAAGCTAAATTATCAGGAAGGTGACAAAAAAAGTCCATGGTTGGAATACCTTAAACATTAAGAAAAAATCAACACTAGCATTCACCTTTCATTCAGATTATGAAATTAAATAGGTATTTATTTACATATGAATAATCAGAGATGTGTGAAGTACATAATCCTAATAGGTTAGGCAAAACTTATTGTTTCTAATAAGATGATGAACTAAATACCCTGAAAACCCTGGCAAAAAAACCCTCCAAATATTGATAAAATATATTTTCAAAAATTCTCTTAAAACACTCATAAGAAAGTAAGACACACTCAGTATTGAGAGAGAGAGAGAGAAATAGAGACAGGAAAGATGGAAGGAAGGAAGGAAGGAAGGAAGGAAGGAAGGAAGGAAGGAAGGCAGGCGGGCGGGAGGGAGAGAGGGAAGGAAGGAAGGAAAGAATGAAGGAAGGAAGGAAAAAGGAGGGAAGGATATGTTGTTTTCTTATCTTTCAAATAAAGATAATGCTTTTCTTATCTATAAAATAAGTAGGCTTTAGTAAATAGTTAAAACAGGAATAGAAAAAAAAGCTCTGTGGCCACATTACCTGGAAAGTGCAACCTGGGATGCTTTTTAAATCCAAGGCTTTTAAAGAGTTTCAACTTTACTGAAATGACAAACCAGGAAAAACATTCAAATCCAAAATTCGTTTAAATAACATATGTTAACATACGGAAATTAAGCCTAAACTTAAAATCTAAAGTGTGAAAGACAATGGGAAGTATAGGAATAAGTGTGGAAAATGTAAATATTCATCAACTATGCAAACAATAATATTAGGAAGATTAATTTAGAAGGAAATGGTGTAAATAAACCATTGGATATCAATTACATTTAAAATTCAAATGTGAAACTGAAGTTGATGACTCCAAAAATCTCTGAAATATCTATAAGCAGTGTAAAGATACAAATATTTTTTATTCTTTTAAATAAGTATAGCTTTGAAGGGCAATAAATAAAATAAAAGTTGAATGTATAACTTCTAAAACTGTAATGCAAAAAAGTATGTTTAAAAATTAACTGGCACAAAAGACATTGAGAGAAAAATTCATAGAAAAAAATCAAATAAATAGAGGGTACATAATAAACTAAAAATACTTTCAATTATATTATTAGGATAATATTTTAATAATCTAGTTGTAAAAGGCTCTACAGGTAAAAGACTGATATGGTTTGACTCTGTGTCCCCACCCAACTCTAATCTCAATTTGCAATCTCCATAATCCCTGCGTATTGAGGGAGAGCACTGGTGGGAGGTGATTGGATCATGGGGGTGGTTTCCCCATGCTGTTTTTGTGATAGTGAGTTCTCATGAGATCTGATGGTTTTATAAGGAGCTCTTCTCTTTCCCTTTCTTTCTCTCTTTCTGTCTCCCTCTCTCTCTCTCTCTCTCTGTCTCACCTGCTGCCATGTAAGACATGCCTGCTTCCCCTTCCACCATTATTGTAAGTTTCTTGAGGTCTCCCCAGCCATATGGAACAGTGAGTCAACTAGACTTCTTTTCTTTATAAATTACTCAGTCTTGGGTGGTATTTCTTTATACCAGTGTGAAAACAAACTAATACAAAGACTAAATTTGCAAGACTAAATATTTTTTAAATGACTATAAGTTATTTACATAAGATCAAATTACAAAATAAATTTCATGCAAATATGAAACAAAGGAAACCTACATAGTCATATGAATGTGACTAAAAAAAAAATTAGACTACAAATTAATATTACAAAAAAGAGTGTGTAACATGAAAATATGTTTTTAATCTATCAGGAATATACAAGGATTCAAAATTATTTTCACCTATTATAAATTGCATTATATAAAACAAAATTAAAAATAGATTTTTACAAGTGTAATAATTATGTTTTCTTAATACTTCACTTAGTAGAACTTTAACATATTAGGAAAATATAGAAACTATGCATATTACATCAGCATATGGGAGGATTTCTTAAACAGATGGAACATATATGACAGAAATGAATGCTAATAAATTTAAAATTAGACTTTCTGTAAAGCAAAATCACCACATACAAGTTAAATTACAAATCGCATTTAACAAAAGATTAATATAAATAGTAAATTTTTAAAAATCACAAACTTATAAACAGTGGTCAACCTTGTATCACAAAATCTATTCAATAATTTCATTAATATCTTATCACTGTAAGAAAAGTTACAGGAATACAATAATTCAAGAGAAAATGAACTATCATTCTCAAATTATATGTTAATTTACTTAGAAATACAAAGAGAATCTGAAGAAAGGTATCAAGTAAGAGAGTTTAGCAATGACAGTAAATATTAGATTAGTGCAAATTCAATTCTTTCAAATTAGTAACAAAATGCCACCAGTAATTGCAACAAACTCCAAGGCACCTATGAATAAATCTAACAAAACATGCATGACTTTTATTATAAAAAGGTATTTTTAATTGAATGATTAAAATGGAACTGAGTAAAAGTGGAGATATAGGTTCCTGGAGAAAAAGAAGCAATATGATTAATTATTTGATAAATTCAGTGTTTTTTTCATCAGAAATCCCAAATAATTTATGTGTGTGTGTGCACTAGTGGTGTATGTGTATGTGTGTGTGTTGTTCATATTTGCATGTGAGAAATTAACAAGCAGAATGTAGATATACTAAAGAACAAAGGATTTGCAGCTGCTGTTTTAATCCAGTTCTTCAGAAGCAGCCTGAAAAATAAGGATTCCTGTGCTAGTGTTTAAAAAAAAAAACATGACAAGAAGAAACTCCCTACCAAGGTGAGAGGAACGTGGCAAGGACAAAAGGGAACTTAGCAAGGCTGTGATTTCAGATAAAGCACCATAACGAATAGATCTAGGTTGGTTTCATAGGAAAGCTCTGGAGTAAACTAACTGCTCACAATTGTTTCAAGACAGTGACTCTGGTCTTTCATATACCTACATTTCCACAGTCATTGTTTAGGGGCTGCTGCTGTTTTCCTGTTTGTAGACAAACCTGAGTTCCAGTAACATTAAGATGCTTGGAACCAAGAGCACACCACAGGTAAGGGAATATACAAAATGGTTTTAAATAAATCTTAAGATTGTCCTAGCCTATTTGCCAAAACAATTTTTTAAAAAGGAAAAGATGGAGGGCACTATTTTTTTTGCCTTTTATCAATAATTGTAAAAGTAGAACAAGCAATACCATCCAATATTTGTGCACGAAGAGAAAAATAGACCTGAGTATGAGAAGCAAATCAATGAATATCGGAAAATTTGATATGTGAGAAAGACGGTTTTGCAAAATTAGTAGGAACACAGTAGAATTTCAATTAAAAGGTGTTGAAACAAATGTTTTCCATAAAAATTGAAATCAAATTAGATTTATCTTTCATAATGTATGCATAAGTCAATTTTAATTGAGTTAAATCATGAAATAGAAAATATAATATATAATTATTTTAGAAGAAAATATAGGAGAATAGATTTTGAAGACCTTGAATTAGAAAAATATTTCTTAAAAAAGACCCTAAAAGCAAAACCTTATAAAATTTTGATTAATTCAACTACATGACTTATTTGTAGTCTTCTCAGCCTAAATATATAATTAAATAGTAAAATGACAGGCCAGAAAAGTGAAGACAGGCTTTGAAATACAACTAAAGACAGATTAATTTTAATAATGTATTTTAAAACTCTCATAAGTCAATAAGAAAAAAACAAGAAGAAAATTAGCAAATAATATAAATAGAAAATTTATAGGAAAGAAAATCAAATAGCTAATAATCATAAGAAATAATACTTAATTTTATTGGTAAAAAGAAGCTACATCTCCTCAAAAAACTTTATTTTAAAAGGTAAACAATTTTGAACTCATCATTTTGACTGATAATACCAAGAATTGGCAAAGATATGAAAATAAAACAGGTATTCTTTTATGTGCTGGAGAAAATTTAAATTGAACACTATTCAAGCAATTTAAAATAGTAAAGTTGAAGATAAATATACCTATTGTCATGGACTGAATGATTGTGTCCCCTCCAAATCCATATGACGAATCCCTAATTCCCAATAAAATAGTATTTAGAGGTGCAGTCTTTGTGCGAAAATGAGATCATGAGGGTTAAGCCCTCATGAATGGGATTAGTGCCCTTATAAGAAGAAACTGTAGAGCTGGTTCACTCTCCTTCTACCACATGAGAATACAAAAACTCAGCAGTCTGCAACCCTGAAGAGAGCTCTTACCGGAACCCAATATGCTGGTATCATGTTCTCTGATTTCCAGCCCCCAGAACTGTGAAAAATGAATTGATGTTAAATCTCCACCTATGGTGATTTGTTTAGCAGCCCAAGTGAAAAAGACATCTATTCCAGTGGTACCACTTCTAGTAGTACAGTACCTTTGTAGTATAGTACTTAGTACTATGTCATAGTGACTAACCATGTGTGGCTATTACAATTTATACTCATATTTATTAAAATTAAATGAAGGTAAATATTCAGTGCTTCAGCCACAGGAGTTACAGTTTAAGTACCCAGTACTACACATGGCTGGTGTCTACTGTTTGGGAAGCAAAATATTGGAAGCAAATACTATCAACAAGGAAATAAATCATTAATTATGGCACATCTATAAAATGAAATATATAGCAGTGAAAGTAAACTACCTCGAACTACACATATCAACATGGATAAGGCATATAGTTATTGACTGAAATGTTAGTTGTATAATGTAAAAAACCATTATTTCCCAGAACGTAAAATATAAATTAAATTTAAAATACATTATTAAAGTTATAAGCAAAAATACTATGTAGTGTTTAAGTATATAATCATGCGAAGTAAATGTTTAAAGACATGCATGTAAATGAAAAACACCAAATTTAGGAGATTGGCTAGCTCTCGTGAAGGTAGGTGTTTGAGTTGGGAGTGAGCTTGCTTAGGTGCACACAAGGATACTTAATCCATATATTTGTAACTTACTTAACCTAAGTAATGGCATATGGTGGTTGTTATATTGCTCTCTTCCTTTTTACATTTCTGAAATTTTACAACAAATTATAATTTGTTAACCTCCTATTTTGCACCTTCTATTTTTAGGTTACATTTAAGATCAAATAAATTTAGGATTATAAGATCTATATACAGTTTTCTAATACCTGTCTTCTAATTTCTGTGTTTAACATCCTGAATTCAACTGTTCTGGTTTATGTTTTGCATTTTTAATTATTGGACAATATATATAAATTACTGTTTTTTTTCTCTGAACTTAAATGCAGAAGTTACAGTTATATCATTACACACATTTTGTTGCTGTTCTTGTTGTTTTTTTCCTATCCAAAATCTATTATTATCCTCTCAGAGGGTAATTGTTTGAACACTTGATGAGCTTCTTCAAAGACTAATAAAATTCTTGCAAAACATAGTGTCAAGTAATGATCATTTTTCATGGTAACACTGAATTGTAATTTAGTATTCTATAGTTACAGTAATTATGAGGCTAGACAAAAGTGTGCATAATCTAATTTTATATCATAATATCTCTGATCATTATTATGAGAAACTTTACTACTTTTTACTTACAAAAAACATTTACAATTATTAATACAATAATAAATGTATCAATGCATAAAATTTTTAAAATTACTTTCTTTAAAAATATAACTGCCTACAGATCTCTGACCTTTGACTTGAAAAGTAAATACAATTTTTCTTTAGCTGTGCATGATCGATCATGCAGTTACGAAAAAGTGCTTCCCAATGAGAGACTATTCAATTTCCTATCATTTCTAATTTGATTTTAATGACAAGTAATCATCTTAAAAACAAGGATCAGAGCATCAATCAGCCCTTCTTTAACTCTCAATTTGACAGTGTAATCTACTTAAACATAAAGGAGTTCAGGGATACTATGAAAGGGAAATCAATTTCTGACTTCATTCATTTATTATATGCTCTATATTATATAATAGCATATACTGTTTACCAAGCTTCAGAAAAAAAGGTTTTTTTATACTAAAGCTTCTACTTTTTTTTGAGATGGGTTCTTACTATGTTGCCTAGTCTGGACTAAAATTCTTAGGCTCAAGAGATCCTCCTGCCTCATCCTCCCCGGTGGCTGGGACTACAGATTCATACTGCACCCAATTTAAAACCTCCATTTCTTAAAGCAATCTTACTAGCAAGTCATTATTATCCCCTTTTTACCAATGAGTACATGGGGCAATAATAACCTAATCTTTAACAACTGTTTATTTAATGTCAGATGTTGTTATAATTGCTTAAACATATCAATCCATACAATAATAGAAGAGGTAGGAGTTAACAGCATTCCCTTATTACAGAGGAAGGTATGAGGCAGCGGTACATTAGGAAATTTGCCCAGGCTCAGGCGGGAGGACTGCTTGAACCCAGGAGTTCAAGACCAGCCTGGGTAACATAGAGGGACCTCCTCTCTACAAAAAATAAAAGTTAGCTGGGTGTGGTGGCACACACCTGTAGTCCCAGCTACTTGGGAGGCTGAAGCGGGAAGATTGCTTGAGCCCAGGAGGTTCAGGCTGCAGTGAGCCGTGACTGTGCCACTGCACTCCAGCCTGGGAAACAGAGCAAGACTTTGTGTCACAAAAAAATTAAAATGATAATAATAAATATATATTAAAAAAATTTAAAAAGAGACGTCAAATACCTAAAGGACTCTCTATTCAATCCCAAAGCCCTCTGGCTTCAATGCTTATTCTCTTAAACACAACGCTAAAGCTGCTTCTACATAAGAGAGCCAGGGCTCAATTTCACGATTCCCCGTTATCAAACCCATTCTCTAAATGTTACACTGTATAGTAGTCCTGATACCGACAGGAGACAGGGAAATACTGGTTTCCTGGTAAATCACCCCCATCAACGCTCCGCTCAAGCCTCAGGCCTGAAGACCTGTGGCCCTAAATAAGGACAGGCATTCCGGTTTTTACAGCCAAAAAATTGCCTTTTGGCCCGCCACGCCCCCTATCCCGCACTAATATAAACCGCGAATCCCAGGCTCCAGAAGCCCACCAGCAAGCCAGCAGATCAGCAGATGTACCGCAGAACGATGCGGCAGAGAAAGAAAGAAGAGGAGGGACATCTAAACGCGGACAGGAGTTCCGCCAGGCAGTTAGAGAGGAGTCCGGCCGCGGTGTGGCCCGACCCTAGGGGTAGATCACCTTCCCACTTTATCCCCCGCTTCTGGCTCCCGATGCATCCTGCTGAGAGACACTTCCGCCACTCAGTAAAACCTCCTATTCATCCTTCAAGCCCATGTGTGACCCGATGTTTCCAGGACGCTGGGCAAGAGTTCCGAATACAGAAAGCTGTCACACTGGCTCTCCGTCCTTGCGAAAAGGCAGAGGGTCCACTGAGCTGATTAACACTGAAGCCATCTGCAGACAGCAAAGCTGAAAGAGCTTTGTAACACTGGGGTGGCAGACACCCACCCCTAGACACTACGGTGGGGCAGGAGCAAACAGCGCTCCTTCTGGCCTCTGCACCTGCCCCTCTGCATGTTCCTCCTCTTGCTAGGGGTTTGAGCCGCATAGGAACAGAACTGGCAAGCCACACCCCTGTCACCAAGTCCTCCTGCAAGGGAAATGAAGCAACTCTCCCATTTTAGTTTCAGTTCCTTGGTATTCACAGAAAATTGGTTTCAGAACCCACCCCCCGCTTGGATGCCAAAATCCATCAAGTTCCTTACATAAAATGGTGTTAGTATTTGCAAAGAATCTAGGCACATTTTCCCATTCAAAACATCTCTCTATTACATATAATACTTAATACAATGTAAGTGCTATGTCAATAGTTGTTATAATGTATTTTTAAAATTTATGTTGTTTTATATATATTTTTCCCAATATTCTTGATCTGGGGTTGGTTGAATCTACTCCTGCAGAACATGCAAATAGGAAGGGCTGACTTTTTTGCCAACAATGTGCTTCCTGTAATGGTGACTAGATTGATTTTGACTGGCACTTCCACTAAAGAGTATGAACAGGATGATTTTTAAAATCTATTCAGATGTTTTGGGATGTCACCAAGGTAGCAGGAAATTACAGGGCATAAATCAGGAGAGAAGAAAAGCCAAAACATCCAAGGACTTTGAGCCCTTCAACTTTTGAGGTATGTGCAGACTCAAAACTACGGCAGCTGAGAGGTTGGAGAAAACTTTTGGCAGACATTGGATTGAGAGAAAAGCTGGAGTCCATTACTTTCAATGGGTCACATAAAGGCAAAACGTGGGAATAAAGGGTAACTAAAAAAGACCAGCTATGCATTACCTCAATTTCTTATTGGATTCATGTTATCTACTAGCTGCTCAACAGAAGGAACTAAATCTTCTCTTAAGTAACAGAAGCTTAAGAAAATACAGGATGTGATAAAAGTTCTAACATATGTGTAGCTCAAAACCCAGATAAATAGGAAAGAGATCGTAAGATGGAAGAAATAGTTAAAATGTTAAGAACTGAGAATTTTCCAAAACTGACTAAAGACTTCAAGATAAGAATTGAAGAAGATATAAAGACCCCAACCAGGATAAATTCAAATAAAACTATAGTTAGGCCCATCATATAAAAACTAGTGAAAGACAAAGTGAAAATTTAAAAAATTAGCCTGAGGGCTTATTAAAAAAAATGTACCTCCTTCAATGGACTCAAAATAATACTAATAGTTGACTTTGTAACAGAAGTAATGGAATCCAAAAGATATTTATCTTTAAAATGCTAAAAGTTAGTAAATGCCATCCTAAAAGCCTTTATCCAATTAAAACATCATTTAATGAAGAAGCCTAATTAAGTCATTTTCAGACAAAAATAGATAATTTGTTAAAAGCAGACTCATATAAAAGTAAGTATTATAGAATGCTGTTGAGGCACAAAGAGTAGTCTTCCATGCAAATATTTCATATTTGGAAAATGTGAAACCTTAAGATAAGGCAGTGAGAACATCAGCCTAGATGCATTTGTAAATCTGTTATCCCTACTTTCTCTCAGCCTTTGTATGCTCAGTATGTAAGTACCAATTAAAAGTAAACAGTTCTTACTCTATAGTCCATCCAGTTATGACCCTAAAACAGAAGAGAAATGAGAGAAGAAAACCTGCTTATGGGCAGAAATTTCATTAGTACTGTTGTCCATCCAGTTATGACCCTAAAACAGAAGAGAAATGAGAGAAGAAAACCTGCTTATGGGCAGAAATTTCATTAGTACTGTTGTCATTCCTCCTCTTTTTTTTTTTAATTCCAGAAAGAAAAGTGACTCTAAATATGAATATTTGAAGTCATTAGTTTGAATTGGATGGTTAGGTGGTTGGAAAGAAAATGATTAGTAGATAGAGAGAAAGAGGTTTAGTGTAGAGGCATAGGGTGGAAACTTTAGGAGTATACATTAGTGAGAACATCTTTGAATCCTGTATGATTACCAAACAGAAAGCAGCCACCATTAACAACGAAGAAGATAAAATAACTCGAAAAGTTGATGTCAACAAACCTTCATCAGAATTGGCACAATAAGTCCACAAGTCCATCACTCATATAATGCACCATACCTTGAGAAAATAAGCCATCCAATTGTTAGCCAGTTGATTCATGAAAGGCAGTGATTCTTCTTGACTAGTTTGCACACATTATCCAAGTATGGTTGCCTTTTCAACAGAGCCTCATTTAGAAGCATTACGTGAGGTTACAGAGTGTTTGATTCTCCAAAACAGGTTATTTGTATTAGAATGAAGGACATACATTTTAGCAAAGCAGATGATGTGGTGAGACAAACGGACTCAGTGATCAGATCACATATAACAATAACCAGAAAACACTGACCCAAGGTTATACAACAGCACATGAAGGAGCAGCACAAAATGAGGTCAGAGGAGGGAAGAAAAGATGGATTTCAGAACAGATGATTAGCTTTAGAAATTAGGAGATATTTCCTCCATTCTGAAAGTGGGAAAAAGAAAAACGTGTGAATGAAATTGCAGATACTATAGTTTTGTTAAATATGATTTTACTGTATGTTTGAATTTATGTAAATATTTTAATGAATGAATATTATAAAGAATTTTAATACTTTGTAGTGTTCCATGGCATATAACAATATGAGTTTTAAAATATCTTTGAAAAGATTAATAAATTAGCAGAGTTTAATCCCAAATTGACAGTATTATTTTCAATTTTAGAATTGCAATAGGGTTGATTACCACTAAAAGAACTAGCAAGAAAAAAAGTCTTCTATAAGTGGAGAATAAATCAACACTATAAGAATTTGTTGATTTTTTTTTTCTTTTTTCAGAGACAAGGTCTTACATTATCACCTGCTAGAGTGCGGTGGTGTGCTTACAGTTTACTACAGCCTAGACCTCCTGGGCTCAAGTGATCCTGCTGCCTCAGCCTCCCAAGTATCTGGGACTACAGACATGCACCACCATACATGGTTATTTTTTTTTTTTTTCATAGAGGCAGGTTTTCACTATGTTGCTCAGGCTGATCTTGAACTCCTGGCCTCAAGGGATCTTCCTGTCTCCACCTCCAAAAGTGCTGGAATTACAGATGTGAGCCACCACACACAGCTAAAAATTTTATACTATGTATTATGAGCCTAGCACAGTGTTAGAGGTATAAAAAGAGATAAAATACAGACTCAATGATTAAGACTAAGCAAGAAGTTCTGCTCAACATAAAATATATAAAGATTAAACAAATCTGAAATAGATTGTGGGATCGTTAAAATATTGTATACAGAAATTCAAAATGTCTTTAAAAATTGCTGTTATAAATAACTATAAATGAATGTGAGGATTAAGATGTCAAATCTAGATGCTATACATGGTATCTTGGAATAAGAAGTTATATTTAATGTCTGTGACTAGTTTTCATTTAGCCAGACTTCAGTAGATTCAAAATATTTATTTAACTTTCTTATTTAAATGACTTATAAGTCAATTTATTAAGTTGAAAGACTGAAAGGAAGTTTGATTTTTAAATGTTATTACTTAGAGTTCATAAAAAAATATGGAGTTAATATACATTTTTATTTAATTTGCTTAATTTGCTCATAAGAGATTTATTGCTCTATAATATTGAAAGCTTCCTGAGCAATTGATTAACATTTGCTTGTCTTTCAGTGGTTTTCTTTCAAAATAGGTGACAATGATTTTTTAAGAATCCTCTAATTTATTCCCTAATTTATTCATCTTTGTTTAGTAAGGTAAAGTTCCTACCTTAATGGAACTGATATACTAGTGGGAGAGATAGACAAGCAGATACAAAATTTTTAAAAGGTAAAAATATATGCAAATAAATATAACAAAAATATAATTTCAGTTAAAGTGAGCTAAGGAGGGCTAGAGTGGTGGCTGTTTTGCCTCCTTGCCAGAGTACAAAGTGAAAATATTTTACCAAATAACTTCACAGTGAATATTTATCCCATATTTCTCATATATTTAAAAATCTTTTCATGAGCTCAAGATTCTAAAATAGAGTTAACTAGATAATATTCAAAACAGTTAAAATGAAAAGAAAATTACTTGGCAAAAATCCAGCTATTTTATTTTCTTGGAAATATTGAGGACATTTTGGTAATCTTAGATCTTCATTGTAGTTCTTGATTGTTCAAAAGTATTTACATATGTCATTTTTCTGAGTTGAATAGTGTTTCCCCAAAATTTATGTCCACCTGGAACCTGTGAATGAGACCTTGTCTATAAATGGGATTTTAGCAGTTGTAATCAAGTTAAGACAAGGTCATACTAGATGAGAGTTAGGCTGTAAATCTGATATATATGGTGCTTTATAGGAAGGAGGAAATTAAGACACAGAGACACACAAAGAAAAGATGATCATGTGAAGATGGTGGGATAAATTAGAGGGATCCAGTCACACCTGGATCGTCAAGGTTTGCTTTGATCCTGCCTACCAGTGACAGACCACAGAGGGAACCTAAGGAAGGTCTATTCCTGGGAAACTGCGGAGTCCTTTAACAGCCCGATCAAGGCTCAATGACTCCTGGAGCTTTTGTTAAACCCTTAGACTTGGAAAGCAGTCTTGGAAGGAAGTCTTCATGCTTCCACCACACCTTCTCTTCCTTTCTTCTTCATTTGTGGTCAAACTTGTATCACTGTCTGTGGATCTCTCAGCTTTTTCCAGATCCATCCCCATTTTCTTTGAGGCAGGTATTTTCCCTAACAAAATCTTTGTACATTTGATACCATCTTGGCATCTGCCTTTAGAGGTTCAGGATTAACACAGTTGGACAATTTGATATTCCCAAGTGATATGGTTTGGCTCTGAGTCCTCACCCAAATCTCATCTTGAGTTGTACTCCCTTAATTCCCACGTATTGTGGAAGGGAGCTGGTGGGAGATTATTTGAATCATCAAGGCAGTTTCCCCCATACTGTTCTTGTGGTAGTGAATAAGTCTCATGAGACCTCATGATTTTATCAGAGGTTTCCACTTTAGCGGCTCCCTCATCTTCTCTTGCCACTGCCATGTAAGAAGTGCCTTTCACCTCTCTCCATGATTCTGAGGCCTCCCCAGCCATGTGGAACTGTAAGTCCAATTAAACCTCTTTTTCTTCCCAGTCTCAGGTATGTTACTATCAGCAGCGTGAAAATGGACCAATATAGTAAATTGGTACCAGTAGAGTGGGGCATTGCTGAAAAAATACCCGAAAATGTGGAAGTGACTTTAGAACTGGATAATAGGCAGAGGGTTGGAACTGTTTCAAGGGCTCAGAAGAAGACTGGGAAATGTCGGAAAGTTTGGAACTTCCTGGAGACTTGTTGAATGGCTTTGACCAGGAACCTGATGGCTATATGGACGATAAGGTCCAGGCGGAGGTGGTCTAAGATGGAGATGAGGAACTTTTTGGGAACTGGAGCAAAGGTAACTCTTGCTATGTGTTAGCAAAGAGACTGGTGACATTTTGCCCCTGCCCTACAGATCTTTGGAACTTTGAATTTGAGAGAGATGATTTAGGGTATCTGGTGGAAGAAATTTATAAGCAGTGAAGCATTCAAGAGGTGACTTGGCCGCTGTTAAAAGCACTCAGTTTTACAAGTGAAGCAGAATACAAAAGTTTGGAAAATTTGCAGGCTGACAATGTGAGAAAACAGAAAAACCCATTTTCTGAGGATAATTTCAAGACAGCTGCAGAAATTTGCAAAGTAATAAAGGTCTGAATGTTAATCCCCAAGACAATGTGAAAAAATGTCTCCAGAGTATGTCAGAGGTCTTCACAGCAACCCCTACCATTATAGGCCCAGAGGCCTAGGAGAAAATGGTTTTATGAGCCAGGACCTTGGCCCAGTGCTTTGTGCAGACTTGGTGCCCTGTGTCCCAGCTGCTCCAGCTGTGGCTTAGAGGGGCCAATATAGAGCTTGGGCTGGGGCCAGAGGGTGCAAATCCCAAGCCTTGGCAGCTTCCATATGGTGTTGAGCCTGCCAGTGCCCTGGTCCTGCAGCAAACATTGCCTGGGCATCCAGGCATTTCCATCATCTGAAATCTAGGTGGAGCTTCCCAAACTCCCAAACTTTCCAACTGCAATGTAGGCAGAGGTTCCCAAACTGTTGGGAAGGCATGATTGATTTTGAAATGTGAGGCCATGAGATTCGGAGGGGCCAGGGGTGGAATGATATGGTCTGGTCTGGTTCAGTGTCCCCACCAAAATCTCATCTTGAATTGTACTCTCATAATTGCCATGTGTTGTGGGAGGGACCTGGTGGGAGATAATTTAGTGAATAAGTATCACAAGACCTTACGGTATTAATGGGGAGTTCTGCTTTTGCATCTTCCTCATTTTCTCCTGCTGCCGCCATGTAAGAAGTACCTTTTGCTTCCCGCCACGATTCTGGGGCCTCCCAGCCATGTGGAACTGTAAGTTCAATTAAACCTTTTTCTTCCCAGTCTCTTCTCTTTATCAGTGGCATGAAAATGTACTAATACACAAAGATCTGGTTTTGATGGCAGCTGTGGCTCATCTGCAGTGGCTGCTGCCATGATGCCAGAGGCTGTTGGGGAGGCGCAGCTGGGGCTGGACACTCCATGGAGCTAGGGTGACATGGGAACAGGTATAAGCACTGCCCTCTTCCAAGTTTGAGGGGTGGGAGCCCTGCCCTCCTGGGTGCAGCCCTGCCTTCTTGGGTGCAGCTTCAGCCACCAAACTCAGGCATCTCTGTGCTCTCGGGGGCCTGGGAAGACCCCCACCCCTGCAAGCTCAGAAGTGCCTGCTTCCACTGCTTGGCCTCTCCCCACTCCTGGTGCCTACTCTGATTTTGTAGCAAAGTTGTGGCCATGCCCAGGTGCTGTCATGACTAGGCCAGGTATGCATATACTTGGGGAAGCACTGACATGCCAGCCCTCTGCCATGTTGGGACCCTCTGGAATGTGGGTGGCCAAAAAGTACAAGAGAGAGGCTGAGGGGGTGCTAAACGCAGCTCAGCATGGGCCCCCAGGCACCCCTTGGCATGAGCACCCTGGGTGCTGTGGGCATTGTGGATGGCAGGTTAATATAGGCAGGAGCCAGACAGGTTCCTGAACAGGAAGGGGCGTGTCCCTGGTGAAACCGCACCTTCAGGCCAGGGATAAACTGAGGCATGGACCCCAGACTGCCAGTTCTGTGGACTGGAGTGAAAACTTATGGTGCTTTTTCCAGGTCCACCCATGGCCACCCACGGACCAATCAGCACCCACTTCCTCCACTCTGAGGCTAATAAAAATCCCAGACTCAGCCAGACTCAGGCAGACAAAGGGACGACCTGTTTGTGTAGAGGAGCTAACCACTCTGGGTCTCCTCTCTGCTGAGAGCTGGACAGTTATGTGAATGACTTGCCTGTGGTTAGGAGTTACCACTGTGGGTCTCTTCTGAGCTGTTCTGTCGCTCATTAAAGCACCTCTTCACCTTGCTCACCCTCCACATATCCATGTACCGCATTCTTCCTGGATGCAGGACAAGAACTCAGGACCCACCAAATGGCAGGGCTGAAAGAGCTGTAACACAAACAGGACTGAAACATGTCTCTTGCTTGCCACGTTGCAGTTGACAAGAAGGAGAGAGGAGAGAAGGAAAGAAGAGCTGCAGCCCTTTGGGGCACTTAGACCTAGGAACTCCCTGAACCAGGGCTGTGACACCTTCTTTGGGGCTCTGCAGTTCTTGGTGTCTCCAAGCTTCCGCATACCACCAGGTTCCCCATTACCAGTCATGAAAGTTGCTTGTGGTACACCTGCTCCAGCCACAGCCTCACAGAGGGCCGGTGCTCATGCCAGTGCCTGGAGCTGCCTGCCTTGCCACAGCTGGCATGCCTGGCTGTGGTCAGTGGCCAGATCCCACGCTCACACTGTCATACACCTCATGCTCCTCCACATCTGGCTTGCCCTTGGCAGGCATGGGATCCAGGCTGGGAGCATAAGCCAAGTGCAGACTTCCAGGCCAAGTGGGCAGAACAAGCCCAATAGTCCAAGGCAAAACTTGGGCAAAGGTGCCACCAATCACACAGGTTTCAGGCCAGAAAAGCAACACCCCAAAGACCCAGTGACAGTTTCTGGGTTACTCTGCCTTGAACATTGTCATCTCTTGCTGTATTTAGGATGACAGTTTTCCACTTCTACTGTTCCCGTGCATCCTTATGAGAAAACTTTCTGTTGGTGTAAGTCTGGAGTCTGAGAAAGGACTCAAGTCTTTAACATTATCAATTTGGAATTTGAAATTTCTTTGACCATGTAGTTTTCTTAAATATTTAGTAGGTATATGACCTAGTTGTTTTAGAATCATGCATCTAGATGTATCTGTGAAGGTTTCTTTTTTTTTTTTAATCTCTCATAGAGATTTAATTTTTACTTTGGGAGGCTAAGGCAGAAGGATTGCTTGAGGCCCCATATCTATCTATCTATAAATAAATAAATAAATAAACAAATAAATAAATAGCTGAGCATGGTGGGCATACTTAGGAGGCTGAAGTGGAATCTGAAGTGGAAAGATTGCTTGATACCTGGAGGTCAAGGCTGTGATGAGCTGTGATGCACCACAGCCCTCCAGCCTGGGTGACAGAGTGACATCCTGTCTCAAAAGCAAAGGAAAACAAATCAGAAAACAATTTTGAAAAACTCAACTTAAAGTGAATTGCCAGAAAAATGAAATTAAAAGAAGAACACATAGTATTAGATAGTGAGGCAATATTACAAAATTTCTTTTTTAAGTTTCATTTTAATTTCAGGGGTACAAGTGCAGGTTTGTTACACAGGTAAACTTGTGTCATGGGAGCTTGTGGTACAGATTATTTTATCACCCAGGTATTAAGTCTGGTACTCACTATTTATTTGTTTTGATCCTCTCCCTCCTTTCCTCCTTCCACCCTCTACCCTCTGAAAGACCCCAGTGTGTGTTTTTTCCCTCTATGTGTCCTCGTGCTCTCATCATTTAGCTCTCATTTATAAGCACGAACATGTGGTATTTGGTTTTCTGTTTCTGAGTTAGGTGCTGGGGATAACGACCTCCAACTCTAACCACATCCCTGCAAAGGACATTATCTCATTCTTTTTTTTTTTTTTTTGAGATGGAGTCTCCCTCTGTCACCCAGGCTGGAGTGCAGTGGCGCGACCTCGGCTCACTGCAAGCTCTGCCTCCCAGGTTCATGCTATTCTCCCGCCTCAGCCTCCCCAGTAGCTGTGACTACAGGCACCTGCCACCATGCCTGGCTAATTTTTTTGTATTTTTAGTAGAGATGGGGTTTCACCATGTTAGCCAGGATGGTCTTGAGCTCCTGACCTCGTGATCCACCTGCCTCAGCCTCCCAGAGTGCTGGGATTACAGGCATGAGCCACTGCACCCGGCCCATTATCTCATTAATTTTATAGCTGCATAGTATTTAATAGTGTATATGTACCACATTTTCTTTATCTAGTCTATCATTGATGGGCATTTAGGTTGATTTCATGACTTTGTTATTGTGTATAGTGCTGCAATGAACATACACGTGCATGTGTTATTATAATAGGATGATTTCTATTCCTTTGAGTATGTATCCAGTATTGGGATTGCTGAGTGAAATGGTATTTCTGGTTCTAGGTCTTTGAGGAATTCCCACACTGTCTTTCCGAATGGTTGAACTAATTTACACTTCCCCCAACAGTATATAAGTGTTCCTTTTTTTTCTCCACAACCTCGCCAGCATCTGTTACTTTTTAAAAAAAATAATAGACATTCTGACTAGCATGAGATGGTATCTCATTGTGGTTCTGATTTGCTTTTCTCTAATGATCAGTAATGTTGAGCTTTTTTTTTTTTCATATGATTCTTGGCTGCATGCATTTCTTACTTTGAGAAATGCCTGTTCATGTCATTTACCCACTTTTTATGGGGTTGTTTGTTTTTTCTTGTTAATTTTAATAAGTTCCTTATAGATGCTGAATATTAGACCTTTGTCAGATGCATAATTTGCAATTTTTTTCTCCCATCCTGCAGGTTGTCTGTTTACTCTGTTGATAGTTTCTTTTGCTGCGCAGAAGCACTTTAGTTTAATTAGATCCCATTCGTCAATTTTTGCTTTTGCTGCAATTGCTTTTGGCATGTTCATTATGAAATTTTTGCCGTGCCTATGTCCTGAATGGTATTGCCTAGGTTGTCATCTAGTCATTCCACTCTGTATTTATTTACAAGCAAACAGATTAAAAACATTTTAGGAACCCTCACCACCCTGTGAACTGTATTTGCATGAGCCTGCTGTATAGATCCATTCTAGGAAATTAAAAACTAGAGTCTGAGAAGTGTTCTAGAAATGGGTTTTCGACTCTTGAAATTCCTGTTTTTCCAAATTTATTAATGTTTTTGTGCTGATTTTAATAAAGTTCTTTTAATTCAGATATTTGAAAGTATACCCTTGACTACTGGGGAGGCCACTGCCCCAATTGACCTTCTGGGAGCATCTAAATAAGTATGTTTGCTCTATTTTTCCTGTAAAGAGAGCAACATAAGGAGACTCAGGAGAAGCCCAGATGATCCATGATGCTTGGTTTTTCTCTTAATATAATTTTTAAATTTTTCTTACTTCTCTATATATGCTGGTACATTCATTATTGGATAAGAAATTTTGTCTAGTTTTAAATCATATAGAGTGTCAGATATCATATTTATAACACTTCTTAATTGTATTCTGAAAAACAGTCTTTTTAGGAATAACCACGCTTCCTCTATTCTCTAAGTCCCTTACATATAGTGACATACTAAATGCCCTGAGAAATATCAAATGTAATGTTTTTCATTTATTTGTTTGTTTGCTTGCTTGTTGGCTTGTTGATTACCAGCAACAGGGATTATTGCCACTCCATCAGTAAATAAGAAACAGATACCAGGTCATACCTTACATACTACTTCCCAAACAGCACAAGTGCTGACATATCCTAGGCTTGGAACAATGAGGTCCTCACTATCCTCCTTCTGCCCTTTCTTTTCATTCAGCCTGAGCAAGAGAGCTTACTGTCCCCTTAGCCTAAATCTAGGCCCATCATCTCTCTTTTCTTGGAACAACCGTCATTGTAAATTATTTCTCCTATCCTTTGTGATATAAATCTTTAAAAAGTCTTTTTGCTAGTTTTACAATCCAGTAAGGTCTTTCTCAAGGACAGGGAGCCATTTCTTAAACCTATAATCATCAAGAAAAAGAGTGCCTTTATCTCTTATTTTCTGTGAAAGAATAAGAACTTAACTTCTGTGGCCACCTTGCTCCAAGTTATAAACCTACTGCCTGTTATGAAAGTATTAAAAAGTTTACTTTTCGTTGGGATAAAGGCCAATTAGCAAACACAGACGGCCTATGAATCTCCCATCCAGCTCTTAAAACTCTCCAGCCTTTTATCTCAGCAGAGTTGAGTTCAGGCTAAATTCTGTCCTCAATTCCCCAGTACAATCTCCTTGAATAAAATTTCCCTTGTCTGTTTAACTTTGTACTGCGCAATTTTTTTTTTTTTTTTTTTGCTTTGACAAATCCATTCCATTGTATGTTCATGGCAATGCCATTACTTCCTGGTCTCAAAATCTTTATCAGTAACTGAAATCAAAGTGGCACAAATGGTGAGAAAGTATATTCTCACTTACCATAAAGTCCAGAATAGGAAGAGTATTCAGGTTGATCCAACAGTTTAATTATGTCATCAAAGCACACAGGTGTTTCTGGGTCTCAATGTGCAATCCACAATGTTGTATCAGTTCTGTAGGTTCTATAATGTCTTGGTTGTAGGATGGCTGCAAAAAAACCAAATTAGGCTAAATGCTTTATGAAAGAAAAAAGAGGGAGGAAAGAAAGAGATGGGGGAGATTGAGGTTTCCACATATCTGACACGGAAGTTGGGAGCAATTAGCATCATGACTTCCAGCTAATTTCTTATGATAGTTTTTGCTTATATTTGGCCATAGTTTGATCATACTTGTGAATCAAACACTAGCAGATACATTGCCTCTATGTTGAGTATTAGGTAAAATGACTCAACATTCCACAGTAATATCCACTATTATATACCCTTATAGTTCCTGAATTATAAACTTTAATTTAGTTCAGTTTTTAAATTTAAGTAAATTGAAGTACAAAATCATAACTCTTTAAAAACCAAAAGTTGTTACATGCCAATCTTTTCCCCTGATGGTCTCATATTTCATTGCAAAACAATGTATTTTAGGTAATTACAGAATTAGGAAACTACAAAACAGTGTTTCAAAGTGTTGGTTTCCAGCTTTGATATTTTTACCTTTGCATATATCTATATCTATATACACATATTTGAAAATGTCATCTTTCTACCTATAAAAATTACAATTCAGTAAAATTGTTTGCTAGTGTGATATAGAATAAACTAATTCCTACAATACACAAATATTTACAATTGAAATACTTCACTTGTTCATTGATAATCACTGTTCTTTCTACAATTTATACATTAGTCTATTCCTCTACAATACAATGTTTGGCAAGATTATTCATATAAGTATTAATGGATTCACATAATTTGTTTAATCAATCTTTTTTATGTTGATTCTTTTTATGGAAAGAATGCTATGATAAATCATGTTTATATTTTAATATTGATGTGCATCTCTGTTTTCTCCAAATACATTTCTTAATGAAATGTTATAGGTCAGTAATTTAAACAGTTTTCAAAGATTTTCAAATTGTTCTGCAGAAGTTTTGGACTTCATTCCATTTATAAAAGAAGTGGTTGAGACAACAGTGCCTATCATTGCTATCTAACCCACCCTCTTGCCAACAATTTGAAAAGGAACTATTCTTTAAAATCCTACAAAATGTTTGTTTAACTTTGCATTCATTTAGCTAAATGAGAGCCTAAAACTTTAAAAAATATTTTAATATGTATTGCTTGTGTGATTTCATAATTTTATTTTCAGCCAATTTTTCATATAGGTTATTATCTGTAATGATTTGAATTACAGTTAATCTCATAAAATGAAAATATTTTCTCTCATGTGACTTTAATATTGATGCAATTTAATATTTTTAATTTTATTTTTATTATAGGGGAATTTAAATGTCTAAATTTCTTAATTTTATCAGTGGTTTATATCATTCTCTCACATTAAACATTTATACATGGTGTACCTATTTGCATATTATATGTAATAAAATTGTCTATCATCTTTATTAAAATAATCTGTATATATTATCTTATAATTAAAACCATATTGATAATAAAAAAGAATTTCACACACTTTGTTCAGGATATTTTAGTCTATTTTTCTGAGCCATTTATTTTTATTTCAGAACTATACTGCCTACAATGTATTTTTATGTTTAGAAATTCATGCTTTTCACCATATATTTTTCAAAATTATGTTGTCTATTTTCAAATATGCATTATGCAATGGATGCTAATGTATTTTCCGTGATTCAAAGGTGAAAGAATCAGCAAGATATTACAACTAGATTTAAGTGCATTTAAAGAGATAAGTATTTATAGGCCATGTAATAAAGATATCGTAGAAAAAGAATATTAAATATTCTTTTATTTAACTACAAACTGATTAAATAACAACAGTGCAATAAATGATGACCTTTGGGATTATCCTTCCTGCTGGACAGAAATTATCTACACCTATAACAGATAAATATCTACTATGTTAACTTTTCTTTCTACAGAGCAGTAAGGTAGATCAGTACATACAAAATCAATTAAAGAGGAAAGCGCGGTACATCATTGCAAGGAAAATCATCAGTTTCTTTAGCCTACTCCCAGGTTCTGATAATTATCCTGACAATCAAACCATGTATGATCATAAATAATCTCCATAATCGCAAAAGGGCTGTTCTCATTAAGTTTGGACTATTTATTTCTATAGATTCACCAAGTGTATTACTCTTGCTTGAGACTATTTTTAAACATACGTTATTGAGAAAACTAAGACTAGATAATTAACTTCTATTTGTAAACTTTCACACAGACTCTTGGATTGAACTTTTAAAAATTTCAACAATTATCCCTTCTATTTTGACACAAAGAAAATAAGCTCAAGTCATTCCCTCCATCGAATTTTACAGTTAGTTTCTATAAATATGGGTGAATACCTTTCTTACGAGGTTTCAAAAATTTGCTAAGGTCCTTGGCCTGCCTGTCCACAGAGACAGGATCCCTTCCCACTAGCTACCAAGCTGGTTTCCTTGAGAGAGTTGTGTGGGCATTGATTTAACGTATCAAGTGTTTGTGTTCCATAATAGTGTCCTTGTCAGAACAGATTGTACAAGAACCATACTCAAATATGAAACCTTATATACAAAAAGGAACAAAGAAAAAAAGAAGCCAATTCATATTTACTCTTAGAAGCTGAGAAAAGACATGTACGATTTAAGCAGCCCATGAGGAACACTTCTCCAGTACACAATTTATTGCTCTATCAGGTGAGTTCTCATTTATGACTTGGGAATAAGTTACACAACTGTTGAGGTATAATTTTTAAAAAGGTAAAATTATGACTTTAATGCAAATATAAAATAGACACATGTCAAAGATTGTATTAATGTCATTAAATCTTTTTCTTTCCTCTTGCAATCTCTTCTTTGAACACCCTCAATCTGATTTTTCTTCTCTTTAGAGATTTCAGCTATTTCTCATAGAAAGGGGAAGAAATATATATGTTTTAGTACCTTTGTCTTGCAAAGGAAACTTTCTCAGACATTGACTAGGTGCAAATGGAGCCTCTCTTGTATCTGTTTCTAGACTGAAAGGGAAAATGTTTGCTTTGGCTCATCTTTTATGTTGTAATGCCATTCATTACAGTCTCCAATGAAAAAAGAACTTTATTGATTTCCATGCTAGTAATTTAAAAAGCAAATACACATTACAAATGTGAGGATTAACCTAATTTTTTTATTATAATTACATTTATGACTACTTTCCTGGAGATAATTCATTCTAACGTTATATATATACACACACAAAGCATATTCTTCTCATTATTAAGAATCTTGTCACTGTTTCTAAAAACATAATAGCACTGACATTATAATGCTAAGGCACATTTGACTCCTTTCACCTGACTTGCATTTGTCACCATGTTTACAGTGAATAATTCTGCCTTAGCCATACACTGTAAGTGATACCGGCCCTAGTTAAATGTTTTTCTGACACTTCAAACTGTTCCCTGGGCAATCACTGTTAAGCCAAGTTAGAGGAAAATAACATTGCTGCAGTAATAGGAGAGTTATAAAATGTCTCAATTCTTAAGTTTACCGTTAGTTAGTACATTGAACATTCTGTATGATAAGGAGAAAAATCTCACAGGACTTTGTGGCTAGAAATAACAAGACATGTGAAAATTCTCTGCCAAATAGTCCATGTCCTGCATCATTTTTCAGTGAATTATGCTTTGAGGCTTCATTTTAGGTTGCATTCTTCCCATTAGTTTCATTCTTCATCCTCAGAGGAGGAGAAAAATGGAGCAACAGAGTGTTCTCTGAAAAATTGTATACCCATAGCATATCTCTTGAACATAGGAGCAGGAAAAAAATAACTCAAGGATTTCATTTGAATAAAAATGATTTATCTACTGAGTGCTGAAGGACATGAATATATTATGGGTGTCTTTTGCATTTGACTTTTATTTCTTTCTTAGCAAGTAGATGGCTTCATAGAATGCTTAAAAAACAATTCTAAAATAATATGATACATTTATTTCTTTCAATGACATAGATTTTCTTATAAAATATATTGAGCTATATATGAAATTTTAGACCACTCTATATGTTCAAATTGATCCTAATATTATAATTACCTTTGCATCTGCAAAATTCACTCCATGGTTCTATAAACTTTCATATGTTAACATACTTTTACATTTATAATTAATTGCTTTCAGTGTTAAATTAATATTAACTCTAATCGTGAAGTAGACATGGGCAGTGGTTCAGGAATTAATTTTTGAAAATGAACTTTCTTTCATTAACACAACCATATATAATTATGTACAAAAATGGAAGTATTACTGTATATACTGTTTTTATGCTTGAGAAATTTTGCAATGCTGTCCTTGTTCACATGTATAATTTTTTGATGTATATCGTGTATAGTTTTTTGTATTTAAAATAACCAAATAATTTTCACATATATGTGATAACAAGATTTTGTTTTAGTTTATTTGATGGGGACTATGACACTTAACATAACACTTTTAACTGCCCTTTGTTTTTAATGCATTTAATATCTTCAGTACTAGATATTACTGAGGCCAGAGCTTGTGCAACTTAATATTTTCAGATCAATTCAGAGAAAGACCACTCTAAATTATGTAGGATAAAATAATGTGATAATTAGAGAATAGAAAAGGTACAGGGTTCTTATTTACTCTAATTTGAATTCTAGGTTGAATGATTTAAGAAGAGCAGGTATTACTCAGCCATCTTTATTTTCCTAATACTTAGCACAGTCTTTGCCATACAGAAATCAGATTATTTATGAAGCAGTGGCTTTTGAGAAAGCAACTTACTATTTTCTGAATTGTAAACCTGACGGAATGTAAACTTATGTATCGGTGATACTATTTATCATTCAGCAAAATAATATAAGAATGTAATTAGAGATTCTAGACAGATGAGTGTATGGGAAGTCAGTTAAGTGACACTCTGAAAGTTAAACAGGCCAGGTGTGGTGTCTCACACCTGTAATCTCAGCACTTTGGGAGGGCAAGGTGAATGGATCACCTGAGGTCAGGAGTTGGAGACCAGCCTGGCCAGCATATTGAAACCCCATCTCTACTTAAAATACAAAAAATTAGTCAAATGTGATGGTGCATGCCTGTAATCCCAGCTACTCTGGAGGCTGAGGCAGGAGAATTGCTTAGAACCTGGGAGATGGAGGTTGCAGTGAGCCAAGATCGAGCCACTGGACTCCAGCCTGGGAGACAGAGGGAGGCTCTGTCTCAAAAATAAATAAAATAAAATAAATAAATAAATAAATAAATAAATAAATAAATAAATAAATGTTAAACAAAGTCCACCATGTTGGCTCACATCTGGAATCTCAGCAGTTTGGGAGGCAGAGGCAGGAGGGTCACTTGAGTCCAGGAGTTTGAGTCCAGCCTGGGCAACATAATGGGACCACAGTTTGTACAAAATATTTTTTTAAATAAAAATATGGAGTTAAGCAAAAACATTGGAAGAATAAATAAAATTTGTCTCCCTTAGCATGGTCAAGAGATTCCTCTTGGATGCAGTTGTAGCTTCAGAAACTACAAATATTCCCACACATTTATCCTATATTCAGAGATATTTGCCTTGTGCTCCATGAAAGCAAAGGACATGTATTTTGCCCACCATTGTCAGATTTCCTGCACTTTGTATTTTTTAATAATAATGTTTTTCATCATTTTTCCTTCAACATCTCTTTCCAATTCTAATATATCATTTATCTAATTAAATTTATAAAATATCTTACATTGTTTCTCACATCAAATGGATGGAATGTGATTATCTGAAGCATTAGTCATGTTTCTTCATTGTTTTTATAGTGCCTAGTCTTGTCTCACAATCATTTAGGAAATACTCACTACTTTTATGATCAATGGATAATTGGCTGCATTTACAACTACAGTGTCCACTCTACTTGACCAGCAGCAGTGGTCTTAGGTTTGAATTAAAAATCAATTTATGAGACAAAATAGGCTTCACCCAATACCAAGTTTATTTAGCTTGAGGAATGAATAAACATGAGTCAAAGTCACGGAATGTATAGCAATAGTATAGTAGAGATCACTGGACTCATAGGCACACATTACAACTTCACAGTTTCTCTGCACTGGGATTCTGGATGTTCACAAGTGATAAGACTGTGTGGGTTTAAATGTTTCCAGTTCAGGGAAACCTTCGGAATCCCTTCTGAGTGTTCTCTTGCTAATTAAAAAGCACCCTCAAGGTTACATGGCTAATGCCCATTTTCTGGTGCAGCTGCATCTGATTATTCATCATTCAATAAATAACCTCGACAGGAAGTAGAGTTGTTTGTTTGATACATGGGAATATGGCCAGGATGTCATTTTTCTTGGATCTAGTAGTATAAACCTATACACTTCTTGATCTAGTGTTGCAAGTAGAAGGAGGATTTTATTTAAGGTCAAAATTTCAGGCTTATATCAACCTAGAGGCACAGCAACAGAATCTAAGAATAACCTTTTTTGTATAACTACCAAATTAATTTGAAAACTACTAACCATTATCATTTGAATGTGACTGTTTAAATCAACATCTTTGAGAGAGTCTGTTTTCAAATTTACTTTTTAAATAGACCCTGTTAATTCTTGCAGCCTATTTTTAAAAACCTCTGAAGTTATAATAACCTCATAATAAGTCGATATTTTAAATGGATATTTACAATTTTTTATTTTGCCAAATTTCACAATTTCATTCATAGACTGTCCAAGAAAAAATGTATTGTTTAAGATGCTTAAGGATCTTCCTCAAGAAATCATGTGATTTTTCTAAAAAGATCAACATTTAAAAACAGATAAATCTGTTGTGCTCCAATCAAATTCATGGAGGGAAATTGTTATAAATAATATATTGACAGATATCTTAAATAACTACAATTATAGTTATTATTATAATGTTAGACATTACCATAGATGAATGTTTGAACTATAAGGAACACATGTGTCTAAGCTCTTAGTCTTATTTATTTTTAATAAGCAATAATTTAATGTCAATTTCAATAGCACAGAGAATGTTTTTGCTTAACTTCCATATCTTTTTAACAACCCTTTAAAAAAAGAGGTGCTAGAAACGTTTATACCTACCTATGTTTTCATATATTTCACATACAATAATTAACTTTTTAAAGTTATATATGTCTACAATAGTTTTCATGAATCATATAAACACATATATTTCAAAAGTTCAAACATAGATTATTAAAAGCCTAAGATTAAAGAGTATTAATTGGAAATCCATATGTATACAGTTTCTTAAATACACTCAAGTAAAGTATAAAAAATAATTAAATATAAATGCATCTGATTCAGTTAATTAACATAATCCAAGATGTAATCAACAATTTCTTTCATTGAATGTTATTTGTGTTTGCTTTAATGTTCATAAGACAGTCTTATAGAAACACACTACAAACAAAATTTCAATTAAACAGTTTATGACAATTTTTTAAAAAGCCACCAGGTCCTATGGCTCACACCTACAATCCCAGCTATTTGGAATTTTGAGGCAGGAGGAGAGCTTGAGACCAGGAGTTCAAGACCAGCCTGGGCAACACAGCAAGACTCCATTTCAAAAAGAAATCTGACAAAATAGCCCAGAGTTGAAGCACATGCCTGTAGTCCCAGCTACTAGGGAGGCTGAGGCAGGAGGAATCCTTGAGTCCAAGCTGAAGTATAGTTGCATGATCATAGCTCATAGCAGTCTACGACTCCTGGGCTCAAGGAAATCCTCCTGCCTAAGCCTCCTATGAAGCTAAGACTATTGGCACATGCCACCACACCCAGCTAATTTTTGAAATTTTTTTGTAGCAACAAGGTGATATTGTTTGGCTGTGTCCCCACCTGCATCTCAACTTGAATTGTATCTTCCAGAATTCCTGCATGTTGTGGGAGGGACCCAGGCGGAGGTAATTGAATCATGGGGGCCAGTCTTTCCCCTGCTATTCTAGTGATAGTGAATAAGTCTCACAAGATCTGATGGACTTATCAGGGATTTCTGCTTATTCTTCTTCCTCATTTCTTTTGCCACCACCATGTAAGAAGTGCCTTTTGCCTCCCACCATGATTCTGAGGTCTCCCCAGCCATGTGGAACTGTAGGTCCAATTAAACCCCTTTTTCCCCCCCCCAGTATCAGGTATGTCTTTATCAGCAGTGTGAAAACAGACTAATACGCAGGGTCTCACTATATTTCCTAGGCTGGTTTAAGAGAATATATGGCTCAGGTTCCCAAGGCATGCACTTCAGACGTCTTGCTCTATTTCCTTCCTTACATATATGATACTGCATTTAATGCTCCCTAGAACCAGTTCACTAAATACAAAAAAAAAAAAGAAAAAAGAATAGAGTTTCAAATGTTTTTTGCAGTGGGTTCTCATGAACCAGAAGTATAGAGCTGAAACATCACAGTCCCCTGAAGGGCTCCACCCAAGGATCGTAGGAAGGAAAAATCCTGCCAATAGGCAGAACATCGAGAAGTACATTTGGTTGTTGACTATGCCTCAATAGAGATATAGTTAGAGGAACAGGTTGACACTGATTCATGAACAACTTAATAGAATAGAACCAAATAGCTATGTAGGATAATCAAAAAGAACATGCTTAGAAGCTTATTCAAAAGGAAGTTGAGAAAGATAACTATAATGATATGAAGTGTAAGGATATTAGTATCTACTATGAGTGCTCATCACAGGCATCTGTTACAGAGAATGATCCATTACAGAGAATAATTTGTTAGTGACTCCAATTGTAGCTGTTATTCAAGCTGTGATCTCTGTATTGGAACAAATTAACAGAGCAAAGCACTGAATATTCAGCTACTGATGTGGAGAGCTGGAAAATACTTTGTGCCTTCTTTTTTTCCCTTTATATCAACAAGCAAAGACCACCAGAAGTAGGTACTTTCAAAAGTCCAGAACAGCAGTTCACGTGCAGTATCCTAAATCAAAGTCTGTCAATACTCTGACTGTCTTCCCTAATTACCACTCATGGGCCTTGATTTTCTCAGCAGCCCATAGAACATCATGCCCATCCATTTCGCTGCTGGCATGCTAATTAGAACTGGAGATCTGGATGCAGCAAGTATCCTAGATGCCTTTGTGAGACTTATGCACGGGCAGAGAAAAACCACACTCCTGACACAAAAGAAAACAGTCTCTATTCTCTTTATTTCAAACAGATAGACGTCTATATGGGAAATTTGTCACAATGTTGCTGGAACTGCTAGGTCAGCAAAAAAATAAGATGGCGTCAAGATGTGCAAAAGGATTCTGGCCCTGATTCCAGTAGTTGTTGCTTTCATGGCAGAAGTCAGTTTTCCTTCTGGTCCTCAGTGGGTATGACAGAGTCAGCACAATTTCAGTGACTCTAGGCTGATTTGAGGTGGTGCATGTTAGAAAAAGAATTAAATGCAACATTATCTTCAGCTGCAGAGTGGGTGATGACTTACATACTCTAGCCCACAGGTATCTCCTTTCTATTTCTCTTGGCCCTGCCTCCTGCAAGAGTTTCTTTCTTTCCCTGCCCTATAGATTTTTTCTAATGATTTTGCAACAGACGTGCTGTTTCCATACCCTCGATTGAAACATCTAGACTGCTTTTTGTTTTTATTTTTGCTCTAAACCTGGCAAAAACAATAATAATTAAAACATCTAGCCATTAATGGTATGTAACTTTAGTTAAGACTTATTAACTATTGACCATATAACCTTGCTGTTTTCCTGCTTTGCATGTGCACCAGTATGACATGAGAAGCAACTTTTGAGTTAAGCTCTTCTTCAGCTGCCCTACTTGGCTTATCAGGAGATCCATGCCTCAATAATTATTCTTACAATTTTTGTTTAGTAACTATATAAAAAACCTGGGTCAGATTTAGTTGGAAATATAGATATTCTAAATCTGATGGGAAATTAATATCTCCCAAAAGAAAAGGCTATGCTTTAAAAGGTTACTTGAATTTGCAATATGTATTCTTCAGTGTTATTAGTTTCTTAGCTTCACAGACATTGTCTTTAACTGAGACTGGTGGTCAGATTTACAGCCTAATTTAATAGTGATTCGCAAATATTCACACTTTTCAATTTTGTCATCTTTTCTTTCAGCATAATTTTATAATTTAAGACTAAACAGGATGAAATGAGTATTTAATCTATAATTTGAGTAGCCCAAAACTTGAATTACAATAAGCAATAAACCAAAAATACAGGTTTCCATCTATGAAAGCAAGGGGAATACACGTGGCATATACACTCAGTAAGAAGAGACTAGAAACTGATACTGTAAGCACAGCTACAACCTTTATTCATGTAAAACAGACTAAGAGGTAAAGGATCTATTACCCTTCATAATATGCTCTCTCTTTCTCTCTCTATATATATTCTTCTCACTAATTTTATTACACATTCCTATCTTTGAGATTCCAACATGTGACAAGAAAACAAGATGGAAATATATTCCAGAAGAGCAGATGTTATTGATTTAGAATCATTCATTTGAAAATGTTAAATGTCAAGTTTTTAAAGTTTTTAATTAAATCTTATTGCCATTTGATTTTATAAGCATACAAACCAGGTTAGGTCAAAATTCATGTGTCCATGTGTCCCGCCACCTTGCCTGGCTAGTTTTTGTATTTTTAATAGAGACGGGGTCTCAACATGTTGGCCAGGCTGGTCTCGAACTCTTGATCTTTTCAGTGTAATTGCTCCTCCAACTCTGCACGGGTCCAACACACATTTTTACGGAAACAGAAAGTACTACAGTTTGGGTGTGAGAAATTTCTGGATGACAATTCAATTGGTTTGTCCTTCTTCCTAGTCACAGTGTTGGATTAAATTCCTCAGCCTCACTTGCTTGTCTGTAAGTGAGGCCATATGATTAGGGAAAATCGTGTGGATGGGAGTATTATCTACCCTTTTGAGTCCTGCTCAGTTTTTCCTATAGCGTTCCCTTCCACACAGCCAGGAAATAGAAGTATTTTATATCTCTGAATCACCGTTTTCCAAATAGGGAAAATCATTTTGGATTAAATTAATGAAGAAAATTGTTCTACAATGTTAAGCCATTGAGACATTTATTTTTGTTGGTTATATATTTTTATTGATATTTTTACTGATTATATTTATTGATATGTTTGGTAATACCACACTAAATAAAAAGTATCAGACAACTCAAATTTTACCCATTTTTAAAATTAATTTGAAGTGCAAAAGTATAGCAAATGCTTGGGAATTTTAAAGTTTACTATTCTTTTTTGTTTGTTTGTTTGTATTTTTTTGAGACAGAGTCTGGCTCTGTCACCCAGACTGAAGTGCAGCAGCATGATCTTTGCTCACTGCAACCTCCGCCTCCTGGGTTCAAATGATTCTTCTGCCTCAGCCTCCCATGTAACTGGGACTACAGGTGCCCGCCACCTTGCCTGGATAGTTTTTGTATTTTTAATAGAGATGGAGTTTCACCATGTTGGCCAGGCTGGTCTCGAACTCTTGATCTCACGTGATCTGCCCTCCTTGGCCTCCCAAAGTGCTGGGATTACAGGCAAGAGCCACTGTACCCAGCCAAAAGTTTAATATTCTTAGTTTCAAAGTTTTGCAAGTGATTTGAACCTCATGATACAAAGTGACCTGTTATTACTTGGTCATGAATTTGTATTATGGACAGTCAAAGAGGCTAAGTAAGTTAAAGCCAATGATTTGGCTGTTTGCTCAGCCCAGCTGTGCAGCCTACATTCTGCATCTCAGAATTGTTATTTTTGTTCTCAACTGATTTTTCCCTACCCATTAACACTCAAGAAATGACAAAAATCTCATTTTCTACCTTCAACTTATGACCCGGCAAAGAAAATTTCTAATTCTTTTGATTTTTTTTTTTTTCTTTTGTTTCTTTTTTAATAAACCTGACATTGTCAACATATCTCTTATTGTTAAAACAACTTTCAATTTAAGGAAAACATTTTATCATATTAATAAAATAACTCCAAAGGGACTTTATGCAATCATTATGAATGTAAAAAACTTACTATATATTTCTTAAAAATTTTACTGTATTTCCTATGTTATGTTTTTGTTCATTTTTTAAAATGTTATGTATATAGGTGTAATGTACCTCATAACATTGACAAGAATTAAATGACACTAAAAAGTTATGTTTTAGAGTTTCTCAAAGAGATTATGCTTTAAAATTAATGTTGTACAAATGCTTTGATAAACCAGAATGCACAAAAGTCCTGAAAACATTATTTATGACAGGGCTATTCACATACATTTTGATTATTCTGTGTAGAAGCTGAAAGGTACAAACAACATATGTGATATAATCTTGTAGCTTCTCAGAGCAAAACAGCACCTTTGGCCTTAGATTTTGAAGCATAATGCTTATTTGTTATAAGATCTTAAAGTAAACTGAATTTTTTTTATTGAATATATCTTATAATTTAATAGTTTGTGTTTTACGCTAAAATATTTCAGCATATGATAACTCTGTTGGGAAATAAAAACTGATCTGACTTCAAATAGAAGGAAGAGACCACTGGGAACATTTTTTGTAGAGGTCATGCACCATTTATCTATTTGCTTTAACTCAGAAATTTCAAGGTGTATGTTAAACAGATGCTGGAGAACTCAATATTAAATAAAGTTCTCAGAAATCAGCTCCCTGTGAAGTGTTAAAAGAGTTTTGATTTTCAATAATGCTTAGCATTTCAGTTTATCTCAGAATGTTAAAAAGGCAATGTTGAATCAAACCTACAAAAGAATTTGATTAAACCTGAGATGAGATTCCCAACAGATGAAGCAATGCCCACTAAGGAAAAAGTCATTGTAAGAAGTGCAGAACAGGTATCATGTATGGGTTACATGAGCAAGAGGCTGCCAGAGCAATCATTTTGACTCCATGATTTGAATTAAACAAAATTATTATGTTAATATGCTGATTGTTTAATCAAATCCAATTATTTATTGTTATGTTTTATTATCACAGTCATGTTTTCTTAGACCTGCTCCTGAATTATCAAAGGTACAACTGGTTCCAAAGGAGAATTGGTAAAGGAAATAAAAATCATATTTGAAGGCTCAAGACAAAGGTGTTATTTTAATTTACTTATTTTTATAGTTCAGATAAAATGAAATAATTTTTCTAACACAAAATTATCAGGGTCTTTTTAACAGGTGTGATCTCATGAAAAAATGAGCCAAATATTCATACCCACAAATCATGGATGGTCTCCTGAGCATGTTTAAACCAACTAAATTTGGTCTAAGAATCTTGCTTATTACTAGAAAAAAGTGCATAAACCAGAAATCAATAGAAATTAATTTAAAGAAGGAAAGCTATAGCTTATGTAAAGTTATCCTGCTGAAAGAATACTATTCTTTATTTCAAGTGCCATATGAATTTTAGAAACTATGTGATATGATCTGACTCAGTGTTCCCACCCAAATCTCATCTTGAATTGTAATCCAAATTGTAATTCCCTCTTGTTGAAGGTGGGACCTCATGGGAAGTGATTGTATTATGGGAGCGGTTATCCCCATGCTGTTCTTGTGATAGTGAGTGAGTTCTCTCATGATCTGATGGTTTTATAACAGGCTCTTCTCCCTTCGCTCTGCCCTTCTCTCTCCTGCCACCTTGTGAAGAAGGACATGCTTGCTTCCACTTCTGTCATGATTGTAAGATTCCCGAGACCCCCCCAGTCACATGGAACTGTGAGTCAATTAAACCTCTTTCCTTTATAAATTACCCAGTCTCAGGTATTACTTTACAGCCATTTGAAAATGGACTAATATACTATGTAAGAAGAGAAAAAATAAGCTATGCATTTCTTTTCCAGAATGAGAAATATGTCCAAGTAAAGAAGAAACACAAGATGACTACTCTCCTCTTTATAAAGATATGAGAAAATTATTTTGTAAACATTTTTACAGTAAGTCAATTAAGAAAGTCATTTTTAAAATGACATCAGGGAAGTCATTACAAAGCAAAATTATGATATAATGAAGTATCCCATTTCTTTTTCAGAAAATGTAAATATGAAATATTTTCATTATGTTAAAACAAACATTTCAATAACCCTACTTAGGTTCATAAAGTTTTTATATACAATAATGCATTCAGAAAATTGTAAATACATGCATACATGTGTTTTATGTCATGATCTAACTGTATCATTTAGTATATTCCAAGAAGCTTTGTCAATGATAAAAATGTTTGGGAGAATGAACCAAAGAATCAATCATGCTGTATTTAATGTGCCATTCTGGAAAATCCACTCATAACCCTTTACAGTAATTCTGATACAATCTATAAACAATGTAGCATAATTTGTTTAAACAATAAAGGAGTGGGCCTCTTCTATGGAATGACTATTACTTAGAGTATGTGATAGCAAAGCCCTCAAGGGTTAGCAGGAAACATTCTGGTTTTTGTTGTTACTGTCCAGACAGAATTATTGTTAGTACTTTCTGACACTTTTTCTGCCTTATTTTATTAAAGTTGGTTTTAAATATGTCTGAACTTAAGTGTTGAGACCAAATATTAAATAAACGATGTCCTCTGATAATTCTAAAACATAGATAAACTGATAATGGGTTTTACAAGGATGTCAGAAAATTTTTTTTCCTAGGACAATCAGAAATTCAGAATGATAAATTTCTGGTGTAAGATGGTTGGGAAACAAAGAAACTTAATTTTTTGTCCTTTAAAAACTTTACATTATGAAAAATTTCAAACATATTCAAAGGTAAAAAAAATAATATGACTTTGATCCCTCTCAACTTAAGCATCAACAAAGGTCAATTTATTTTATTTCCTTGTCCTAGTATTATTTTGTGTCAAATACCAACTTAAAAAATTATTACCAGTCTATTAACATAGTTCCTTTATATTATAATATATCCAATCAGTTTTCCCATTTTTTGTTTCATAAAAAAATAAAAGTTAAGTTTATTCCAACTATGTAATAGCTGCTTTAGTCTCCAGTATGATCACTCCATTAGTATCTCTCTTTAGAAATGAACTTGCTCAAATTTACAAAGCTAGTAAATGGCTTGGTCAGCATTTTAAACAGTTCAGCTTCAAAGTTTACATACTAACAATAATATAATGAGTGTTTTTTGCATTATTTGTTTTATATTTTGATATAGAAATATAATTAAAACATTAAATATTAGTCACTTATAAACCACATTCTTAGTTTCATACAGTTATCTCCAAAAGGAGCCATGAACCTGAGTCTGATTTATACTTCAAGTCATTTTAACTCAGTTATATATACCTGCATGAATCATCTGTAATGTTGTCTTTGTGTAGGTATATTTTCATTGTCATGAAATATGTGCTCTAGGCCGGGCGCAGTGGCTCACGCCTGTAATCCCAGCACTTTGGGAGGCCAAGATGGGCGGATCACAAGGTCAGGAGTTTGAGACCAGGAGTTCGGCCAATATGGTGAAACCCCATCTCTACTAAAAATACAAAAATTAGCCAGGCGTGGTGGGGGACGCCTGTAGTCCCAGCTACTCGGGAGGCTGAGGCAGGAGAATCACTTGAACCCAGGAGGCAGAGGTTGCAGTGAGCTGCAATCATGCCACTGCACTCGAGCCTGGGAGACAGAGCAAGACTCTGTCTCAAAAAAAAAAAAAGAAAAACAAAAACAAATGTGCTGTATTAATTGCTTTGGAGGTTTTTTTCATTAATATTATTTTTTATCTAAATCTACTTAGATCTAAGTCATTCTCTTTATTTGGCAGACAGTATTCCAGCCATTGAGTCTAACTGAATAATTGATTGATTTCTATTTTTCTCTGTCACATAGAATGCTGCAACATTTATCCTTTGACATAGTTCCTTGCACATATGTGGGAGAGTTACTCATGGCTATGTATCTGTGAAATGGTGTTACAGAAATGCAGTATACACATATCTTTAATTAAGCACTAAAAATTACTCTCATAAATGCCTTCACATTTAGATAAGCAGAATTCTGTGATGACCCAAGAGAGTCATGCCTCCTGCTATCCAGGCTTTGTGTTATTTCCCTTTGCTTGGGTGTGACCACAATCTGAAACTTTCTTCTAACCTGCAGAGTAGGCAAATGTGCTAGAATATCACCGCCAAGATATAAGGTCATTTGGCAAGGGTGAAGGTATTTTGAAGATGTAATTAGGCACCCAAACGCTTGACTTGAATTTAATCAAAAAGGAAATAATTATATCTGGAACTGAGCTAAACGTTAACTTCTGTAGATAATCAGAGATTCTGAAGGGTAGATTGAACCAGCAGAGACTCTCTGTTCATTGCTAGCCTTGAGGAAGCAACTTGCTGTAAATTCTACAGTCACACACACACAAAAATATGTTGCCAATAACCTATCCCTAATTATGCAGCCAGTTGAAAATGAAGCCCAGCTACTATCTTGATTTTAGCTGTGTAAGACCCTGAGCAGAAGACTAAATTGAGTGTTGGTATGCTTGGACTCTAAAACCACTGAACCTGTGAGACAATAAATGTGTGTGGTCTTAAGTCAGTAAATTTGTGAAAACTGACCAAATAGCAATAGAAAATTCATACACCAAACTTACATTTCCACTGCAGGGTATAAACTTCCACATTTTCTCATGTTCTTACCAACAGTTGATTTTGTTAGATTATTTTAAATGTTTGCCAAGCTTACAAGTAACTAATTACACCTTATTGTTTTAATTAGCATTACCCTGATTATTAAGGAGATTGACAATGTTTTTAAAAATATTCATTGGTCATTTGTATTTCCCATTTTGTGAACATTTAAAAATACATGTGACTTTAATCGTTAAATATTTTGTCCTGTTCTTGCTGATTTTTTGAAATTTTAGTCTGAAAAGACATAACTTGCTATATGTAATTCACATGTCATCCTACAGTTTGTCACTTTGTTCATTTTATTTATTTATTTATTTTGATGTGAATGTGTGTGTGCCTGGGTGCATGTCCATATGACGTGCTTGTACTTTTTTTAATCTGATATATATGTGAGTGTTCTTTGTTTTAAGAATGTTTTTCATTTCCACATCCCAAAGTCATAAAGATATTGTCATACATACATGTTTGCAAGAGCTTTGAAGGATTTGATTTTTTTCTTCTTCTTTTCTTTTCTTTTTTTTTTTTTTTTTTTTTTTTTTTTTGCAGATGGAATTTTGCTCTGTTGCCCAGTTTGGAGTGCAGTGGTGCTACCTCGGCTCACTGCAATCTCTGCCTCCCTGTTTTAAGCAATTGTCCCTGCCTCACCCTCCCAAGTAGCTGGGATTACAGGTGCCTACCACCAAGCCTGGTGAATTTTTGTGTTTTTAGTAGAGACAGGCTTTAACCACGTTGGCCAGGCTGGTCTCAAACTCCTGACCTCAGATGATCTGCCCACCTTGGCTTCCCAAAGTGCTGGGATTGCAGGTATGAGCCACTGCACCTGGCCAGTTTTAGATATTTTTTAATATTATATATTTTAAACTCTCTTTGGATTTATTTTTCTGTATAGCATCTGTTATTCATGTTATATACAATAAAAACCTGATATTTCTAATACCTACTTTTAAATTATCTAGATATTTATCTTTGTTTTGGAATATCACCTGGAACTTCTACCAATGTTTCAAGTGTACTTATTTTTTGTTAGATTTTAACTTTCTCTTAAATGTATACTATACTTTTCATCTTGGAGTTAGTTTTTGTTGTCATCAGTGTTATATAAAATCATAGGAAATGAAACTAAATAGACCTTACAAGTGAGTATTAGGTAAGAGGATAACACAACTATGTGAAAAAAATAAGATTAGAACTTAAATCTTTTTTTAATAACTAGACGTATTGTACTGATTTGGTAAGTATAAATTCATCATGTGTCACAAGTGTAACATATTGAGGAGATGAAAAATAAATGCTAATTACCATGAGAGGGCTTGTCATCTTCTGGATAAGTCAAAAGAAAAAAGCATAGAGGAACCATATGTAATGGAAGCTTGTGCTACAAAATAGTTACTACCTTAGACTTTGGAAAGCACATCAGTTTGAACCCCTGGTACTAGCATGCTATTAACTAACATCTTTGGTAACTGAACATATATGTAAACATTTTTGGTAAAAAATTATTTGATGTTACATGTATAAACAAGGTTCTGGTTCACAGAAAAGACTTAAATGCTAACTATTTTATAGCATAGCATTTGTAAAATGCTACAGTAAGATTTTTTAAAAAAAACTTCTGTATTGTAATTATTTTGGTATCAACTGATGGAAGCATTCTTCCTATTGGGAATTGAGACTTTTATATCAATGGAGCCCAGAATTGCAGACAGGAGGTAAACATTCTTCAGAAGAACTATAGTTTAATAGTGAGAGATGCTACACGGAATTATACCACGTGATTATTAGTCCAAGAACTATTGTTTTGTCATAAATATTAGAAACATCTCTTCAACATACAGCACTTCTACTTTATGGTAGGTTATTCTACCATACTGTAAGACCAAATGCTTCTAGGCCATGGGCTGTATGATGAAACCAATATAATGCATGGGCATGAGAATACTGCTGCATATCTTTTGTTGTGAAATAATGTTCCTTCAAGAAAAATATTGGATTTGGGTACCATGGTGCTGGATAAGGCATGCTAGAAGCCTACAGATGATGGTGTTAACAGATTCCTTTAAGAAAGGAAGGGAAATCCATATCCAGAATATGGGCAAATTGCAGTGAGAGTAGATGATTTTCCTCTTAAGAAAAGGATCCAATGCTATGTTCTGCTATCAGGTGAGTGGCTTTTTCACCTGGAGGAAGGATAATGTACCAGGGACTCAGAAATGGTCTCACTTTTGACAAGTTTGTCCATTAGAAATTGTAGTCTTCACATCAGCCTTAACAAATACATATCTACATTGTTTAACTCAGGCTTAGCCTCCATCCTTGTTGTCATAACAACTTTGCACATAGGCAGTTGTGCAAGCAAGATAGTAAAGAGAATGTGTGGAATACATAGAACATATAACCTTGTCTGCCTGATTACTAAGACATGGCCCTGCTGTTGATACTCTTCTGTAAACATAAAAACATAATACAAGTATCTTCATCACTGCACCCCTTCTGAGAAGTTCATCCACACATTTCTTTTATGAACCTCTTAGTCACAAATCTTCCAATTCCATTGTTTCCAAGATTCTGTTCATCTGGTCAAACTTTTAACCACTGTTGCCCTTGTGATTCTGTGCTATTTCAGTTAAAACAGGAAAACCAGATGTAGTACTCAAAGTTCTACTTTAAGAGATGTTTCCTTTCACCAGTGTGTCAGGAACACTTTCAATTAGAATGTTAATGCTGCACCAAATGTTTTCATTGATGCCAGCAAATTTATCTGTAACCAGACTTAATTTTTTGTTCTTCTTCTTTAAGCCACTGGTGTTGAGAAACTTCCTACAGGTCCATTGCTGTGGAATGAAGCAAAAGAGGTAATGTAGAAAGTTCTGGTGCAGTGGGAGACTGAGCCATATGCCTCTGTAATTTATTTTTATCAGAAAGACATATACAAGCCTGGTCATTTATATGCTATTTCTACTTGATGATCATTTATATTTGTGCATGACAAATTTTATAACATGTTGAATCAAATGGAAACCAATTTATAAACAGAAGTTTACTGATTGTATGATCAATATTTATTTTCTGCCAAATTCCAGTGATAAGACAGAAGTTGTTTCACGAAAGTGGAGAAAAAGAGTCTGGCCTTTCTCCAACACGATGGACGTTCCTGTAGTGATTCTCCATTTAAGGCATTATGGTAGATCTATACAGTATTCTGTTTGTCAAGGATACTGAGATATTCAGATCTGCTTGGCTATGAAACAAAAATGTCAGAATAGCTTTTATAGTAGCCTAAAATTGCTGCAGGGCCTTCTCTTGCTCCATGCCCAACTTAAAACAGCAACTTTGTGGTTAACTCATTAATGAGCCACAGAAACATACATACATAATTTTATTCCCTCTAAAACTTAAAAAAAAAAGTCCCATTAAAAGGAGGCTGAGGCAGGTGGATCACAAGGTCAGGAGTTCAAGACCAGCATAGTGAAACCCCATCTCCACTAAAAATACAAAAATTAGCTGGGCGTGGTGGCACGTGCCTGTAATCCCAGCCACTCGGGAGGCTGAGGCAGGAGAGTTGCTTGAACCTGGGAGGCGGAGGTTGCAGTGAGCTGAGATCGTGCCACTGCACTTCAGCCTGGGTGACAGAGCGAGACTCCATCTCAAAAAAAAAAAAAAAAAGTTGTCCCACTTTTTCAGTCATAGTCAATGCATGATGTAATAAACTGGCTTTGACTGTGGAGGGTCTGTTTTTTCCAAGTCAAGACCACTGAACATAAATTTTACTAAGATGAATAGCTTTGTTTCCTATTATCTGGGATATATGTAACATACCAATACATCTCATAGACTTGCTACTTTTTTTTCTTATTCAGCCCAATCAGCGTCATGTCATGAATTCAATTGACCACTGTGACTGTCTGTGGCTAGCAATTAATTTCTTGATGAACTTGATCAGTGGTACTCAAAGTATGATCTGTGGTCTGGCACTGATTTAAAAACTGTGTATTTATTGGCCTACAATGAGAGAAGTACACACTGAATAAAACTTTGACTTACCTCGTTACAGACTGACATAAGTCCAGACACTAGATGCCAGATAGCACTGGAGGAGATTATGGATAAGAATATGAGAGCTGGCATAGCCCTGAGGCAAGACCATAAAATTGTCCCGTTGTCCCAGCCAGATGATAGCAAACAACTCAAGGTGTTGCATGTAATTCGGTGTAAAGGAGAAGAGGCATTTGTCAAATCAATAGCTGTAAACCAAGTGTCAGGTAAAAATTGCTGTAGGTGATATAACATGCCTGGAGAAGCATTTGCTTCTGAGTAAGATTATTATAATCCACACATTATTGAAAAGATCCATTGACTCTTGCACAAGAAAAACAGTCAAGTTACATGAGAATGTGAATAAGAATCCTCATCTCTGTATCTTCCAAGTCTTAATTGTGGCACTAAGTTTTGCATTTCCTCCAAATATGTGCTATTATCATATATTTTCATTATCTTGGTAAGAGTAATTTATAGTATTATTCATACTATAATAGCTAGGGTGAACATTTAATTTATTATGCATACCCAGATACTTTTCTGAGTGAAAGGGAATGCAGTAATTCTATTTGGACAAGAAGACGTGAACTGGGTTTGGCAAAAATGTAGAGTAAATACAAGTATTTCTCAATCTATAGGTTCAGGAGCTAATGTTTGTTAGGATTCTGAAAGCCATAGATTATGCTTATTTCAATTATTCATCTAGGAATTTCTGAAATAATTACAGGGTGTCTTTGCAAGCCGCTTATACCATTGTGAGATGAACTTGTACCAAAACTCCATTCATCTTCAGGTGACTATAGGCAGAGTATTGTTTTTGATCTTTGGAAAATAGCATTAAATCAAAGTTATATCTATTAAGCCTCAAAAGTTTTGAATAGTACCCATTTCTAGCATTCTGTCACCTTTGCAAATGACCTCAGTTCCTTTAGGAATAGCATTGGAGACATAATTATAGCATATATTTGTCAGTGATAAGGGTCTTTCTATGAGGAAATCTAGCTTTACATTGAATCAAGTGATTACAGAACTTTGAATAAACTAAGGTCCATAGTTTATTGCAAGGTTATTACTCTCCATGTGGCGACACAAATAAGATTTATTAAACCTAAAGATATTTTCTAAAATATATGTGAAATAGTAATTTAGTATATTGACCCCATATTTTATTGCCAGTAATCCATCATTCATTGATCACTGCAAAGAAGATGTAGATCAAAGCATTTCAATTACTACCTTATTCTTGCTTTGTATAATTGTATTTAAACTTACTTTGTCTCTAATTGCTGAGTACTAATATCTTGTTTCTGCTGCTCTGGATGTAATCACACTCATGGAAATCACGTTATTCATTTCAGGGATGTCTTTCCCAACATAATTTATGGTCTACACACTCACCACAGCAGAGTTTATGAGGATAATGTTGCTTGTCTCATTAATGCAGCTTAAGCTTAACTGAAGTGAGTATGCTTTTGACCTGCAAGAGCATGTATCAAGCAGATGGTTGTGCCAGCAGCACATGAAAAATATACCCAGCATTCCTACTTCCCTAAACCTTTGAGTTTTCTCCTCTCCATTATTCTGGGACATTTTTAGTATCTCAACCTAATTGAATCTAAGCTAACACAATTTAAGTTCAAGTTTCAATCAATGTTTTAAACTGTTAAGAGTCATTGCCAACTATGTAAGCTAGCTTTTAAAATCCAAAATCATTTAAATAGACCCAGATAAATAAAGTCAACTCATTCTAATGATATAGTAAATTATTCTTGGACTAACATTTTGAGAGTCCATTTATATGGACTGGGTTTCTGCATATATGAATTAAAAAAAATTATTCAATTATTTGCCACATGCTTTTCTGAAATTTGAGGTTGTTCCCTGTACCACACTGGAATTGACACTATCAAATAGAAGATATGGAGGGGAGGTCTTAAAAAATAATTACCCCTTCTTTTTAAAAAACCTTAACTTTAGTACATTTTGACATATTTTTTATTTATGCATTTTTCTTGTTTCTCTTTTCCTTTCTGCTCTTCACATTGGATATTTCTATTAAAATATCATCAGATTAGTTCCATATTTTTTTCTGCCAGCTCAAATCTTGTGTTGAGCTCTTTTAGTGATTTTTTCCCTGTTTCTTTTATTGTAATTTAAAAACCATAATTTCTATTTGATGCTTTTAAAAATCTCTGCCAGGCCGGGCACAGTGGCTCACACCTGTAATCCCAACACTTTAGGAGGCTGAGGTGGGCAGATCACGAGGTCAGAAGTTCGAGACCAGCTTGGCCAACATAGTGAAACCCCCTCTCTACCAAAAATAAAAAAAATTAGCTGGGCATGCTGGTGGCGCCTGTAATCCCAGCTACTCGGGAGGCTGAGGCAGGAGAATGGCTTGAACCTGGGAGGAAGAGGTTGCAGTGAGCTGAGATCGCACCATTGCACTCCAGCCTGGGTGACAGAGTGAGATTCCATCTCAAAATAAAATAAAATAAAATAAAATAAAAAATAAAAATCTCTGCCTCTTTATTGATATTCTATACTATACTAGTTGATTATTGTTGTCATATTATAACTTGATTTTCTAAGCATTTTTTTAGCTCTATGAACATATTTATAGCAGCTATTTTGAATTCTTTGTTTGCTAAGTTTAACATCTTAGACTTACAGAGGCAGTTTTACTGATGGCTTTTTATCAGTCTGTATGGGGTCACTTGCCCGTTTCTTTGCCTATCTTGTAATTTTGCTGTTGTTGCTGAAAACTGGACATTTTAGATAGTATGTTGAAGCAATCCAGAATGATGATGGCACTGAAAGTTGTTGATGGTGCTGTTATTTGTCTGACTGTTAATTTTTCCAGTGGCTGTCATGGACTAATTCAATAGAGTCTGTCTTTCCTGTAGTGTGTGGCCAGTGATGTAAATGCTTGTCTTTTATTTTTTTTTTTTTAATTATTGTTTTTACTTTAAAACTTAGCTTCCTAAGGGTCAATCCTGGAACAGCATAATTTAGTGATTGGCTAATGATTGGTTGGAAGTTGTTCTTAAGCCTGTTGAGCCAGTTAAGACTTCCATTCTTTGTAATGGCTGTGTCTGTGGTTTGGGGAATACTTTCCAGTTCAGGCACTTTACAGTCTGCCTGTCCTTTTACTTTCTGCTCATGCAACACCCCATGTTCAGTGACTTGGATCCCTCTCATATTTCTCCTGAGCTTGTGCGTGCTACTTTACACATGTGCTCAGAATTTTGAAGCAATATAGATTTCTCTCTGGGATCTTGTCAATGTCTACTGTGTCTGTCTCATTATCTAGATTTCCTTGTTCTCTTTCTGGCTTGCCTAAATGTATGCTTTAACATTTTTACTTAATGAGTATCAAAACTTCAGACATCTGGGATGTTAGTCTTTCCTCATGTTTACACTAGGATCTGTTATTTTTGACAATTCCTATGGGCACGGTGATTTTCTCTTCTTCTCTTAATCAGGCCAGCCACTTCAACAGCAGAACTGCAGGTACTCATGGCCTGCACAGCTCTGGAATCACTACTCTGCCATGAAACTCAGTGGGAGGAAGGCAGCAGATTTTAGCTAAACTGTCATAGAATCTCACTGTTCTGATTGAGGTTCAGTAATGTTCCTTAAATTAAAATTAGCAAATTCTTTGTATGCCTTTATTCAACTGTTCTGATTGAGGTTCAGCAGTGTTCCTTAAATTAATATTAGCAAATTCTTTGTATGACTTTATTCAATTTCTAGAGTCATGGAGTGGTTGCTTTTGACAGTTTTCTCCAGTTTAATTTCGCTTTTCAGGGAGAGGATATGCTGACATTCTGGAAGTCACGCTCACTGAGTGAATGTTTAGCCTTAGATACCATAGATTTCATTATGAGAAGTTTGATTTAGCTCTTTCATATATCTTCTATATTTTGATGAAATATTTTGGTGTATGAGATATAGCTATGATAAGTGGTTTGTCATCCTCATCTGTTAATTTAAGTTTGGAATCAGATTTAATTGATTCACATTTCTCCTATTATATGTTGTTTTTCCTACTTCTTCGCATTCCTGATTATTTGTTTGTTTGTTTTTGGATGCCAAACTTTGTGACTATTACCTTCCTGTAGGCAGGATAGTTCTTATTCTTATGCATATTCTTGAAAAATTTTTCTGAAATTCAATAAAGTGACTTGGAAACATTTTTATATTTCTGTTCTTGGTTTTAATATTTGATAGTTGTGGCTGGAACCATGCTCAGTGTGGGGGTATTTTTCACTCCTGAGGTAAGACAGTTCTCTGTCCACTAATCTATCTATCATCCTATGAATCAGAGTTTATTTCTGGCAGTGTGTGAGCACAAGTCACTGTTAGCACTAGTGTCTGTGGGTAGCACTAGTGTGTGTGTGTAGGTGTGTGTACGCAGGCATGTATGCTTAAGTTTTCATCTTGATACTCCATCTTACTCTCTTGGTCTCCCTAAACTCTTGGCTTTCTCTTCTCATCTCAAGGAGTCTGCCAGCATTGCATGGATTCTTCCAACCTGAACCATGGACTGGAAACTCTGTCAAGGTATTTAGCTGTGACAAACACATGGCTCAGCTAATGTGTTGTCAACTCATAGGGATCATTGCCAGTTTTTGCTTCTGTCCATTCATGTTTGGAAAATTATTATTTTATTTATTTTGTCAATTTTTTGCATATATTCAGAAGGAGGAAGAAGTTCCTTGAATTATCTTTCAGATTCAATTAAGTTTTGGTAAGAAATCTAATGAACATGTATCATAAGCACAAAGAATAGTAAAACTGTGATAACTAACAAAAAGACTTCTTATTCTTTTAAATTAGCAGATAAAATAATCAACTTCATAGATACCTACATCATCAGGGACAACTTATCTATTAAGCACAGTGCCTATGGCCTCCAATAATTTTGGATGCCCACACAAATGTTTTAATTTCTATTAAAATCAGAAAAACAAATAAATAAGCTTTTAGGTGAAAATAAATTCCAATATGTAATGTTCGCATTCTTGTCTTTATATCAGTGAAGTTGTTATATCTATATCTATATCTATAGATATAGATATAGATATATCTATATATATTTTTTTTTTAAAGGAGAAAGGAAATCGTAAAGACAAAAATGCTCAGGGCCCACAAAAGCCATAATGCAATTTCATACTAACCTGTTGTTCTTATTCATGATTGTAAACCTTGTACTTGATTCACTGTCTTCCTTTATACTCAGAGACAATTTATTATTTATGATGATTTCAGTAGTCAGGTGGATAAAGTTTCAGCAGTCTGATCCAGCCATTTGCTTGAAATTTTCAACACTAGTCATATTCAATGTCAATATACTTCAAGCACTCACTCCGACAGTCTTAACCTACATTTATTTAGAAATGCTCTACTTTGAAACAGTAGCTTCAAATTCTTCATTCTTGCACTATAATTTCTGATTGTTACAGCAGTCTAATTTTGTTTCTTAGACTGTTCTTCAAACTCTAGCCCTCTGATTTCAATCTCAATTCAATCTCTGTATCTATCTTCATTTCTTTCCCTAAAATATTTTTATGATATTTGACTACATTTAAGTCAAGATGGTCAACTTTTATATCTATTATATATAAGTTAAGAAATACCACATCTGACTCACTGTACTTATTTGACTAATTTTGTTTTAAGGCAAGGTCTCTGAGTGATATTAGAGAAAATAACTCATATAGAATGTTTGCAGTAAACACAGTGTCCAATTTTAACTGACCCCACAAAGCTGTCCTAAAATCTCGAGGTTTCACTATTATCTTTTCACATTTACTCCATCAGGCATTAGAAAGTTTCTCCACTATCAAAACTACACCTCCATTATGCCTTTTTTCACATCAGCAAATGACCAAGGTGAATTAAACCGTTAACTAGGAAACTCTTACATGTCTTGATCATGTCCGCATTTGTAATAGCAGTCACATCTACATTTCCTTTCCTCTTACAAAATAAAAGTATCTTTTCTCCCAATCAAAACCAGTGCCTCCACGAGTGAACTCAATCAGGTTTTAAAGAACAACTGATAATAAACCTTATGAAACTTTAATTACCATACAAAATACTGGCAGATCTTACTTAGCATACTGATTTAGGATAAGACCTCAAATTTTGTATTTCTAATGAGTTTTGGGAGGATGCTTAATGCTTCTGGCTCATAGGACATGCTTTATGTAAAATGAATATAACATATTTTACCATATTAAACACCCTTTTTTCCTTATCTTTAACTTCTTTAGTTTCTCCTTTATTTTTACATGTTTATTTAAACTCAAGTTGCCATCTTACATCTTAGAAAATATTTTTTGACTTCAGGACAACTCCACTTATTGTTATCTATTTCCTCCCTTCTACAAACTTCATGTGAATGGAATTTAAAATTTACCCTTAAATTTCTTTCTTCCTACTTGTTTGTCAATGTTATTACACTCTGGTTTCCACCCCCATGATTTTACTAAAACTGGTATTGACATAGTTACCAAAGAACTTTAACAAATTTTACTTTAACCAAAGACCTTTAACAAATTTAAACAAATTTACCAAATTTAAACAAATTCACCAGAAAACTTTAACAAATTCTAACTGAATGAATATTTTTCTTCATCTCTTTTCTTATTTTTATTTTATTTACATTTCATTGTTCTATGGTGATAGTGTCATACACTCTTCCTTTTTGGATATTTTCCATGTTTCCTCTAGTTCTGTTTCAACCATACTACAATATTCTTTGTCTTTTGTGTACATTTTTATTTCCTTGCAGATTTTCCTCTTTTTCTGTGGATTTTCCTGTTTTTAGCCCTTAGTCCTCTTCTTGGAACATCCTTCCTAAGTGATGGCCATATGCATTTTTTCAGTCACTATCTCTATGTTGATTTTCCTTTTTTTTTTTTTATTACCTGTAGTCAATGTTTATTTTCCTTAATCCTAAAGCCACAAATTAAACTGCCTACTCGAGAAAAACATGTGGGCAGTTTCTCAGAATCTCCAGCTTCAGTCCCAAACTGATCTTATCCTTCCCCCATGACATCCCTCAGATTATTTTAGTTTCCTGCGTTTCCTGCCTCAGATAATGCCGACTTCTGCCACAGCTACACAAACTAAAATCTTAAGCCTCATCAACCATACAGGTCCCTGTATCATTACATAGACAGCCCACAAATGAACAACTCCCATTGATTCAATCCCCTAATTATTGGTTAAATGCATCCACTTCTCTACATACCACCTGCCATTTATTCATTTGCATCACCATTACTATTTTTCAGTTTGATTCTCCCATCCATACTAAACTCTTCTTACTGTTGCTTTTCCTTTGTCCCACTATATATATATTTCTTAGAGAAGACATAAAAATTGTTCTAAAATGCAAATATCTCCATTCCAGTTGTCTACCTAATAGTATTTAAGAGCTTCCATTATCTTCAGTAAAAAGCTGAAACACTTTAGTGCGCCGTATATACATATAAGCATTTCTTTATAAACTTACCCATGTTTATCTTTTCAGTCTTTTATAAAACACTATTACTTTGTGTTAAAAATATAGTAACTGTCTTCTTACTTCCCAAACATGTCATTCTTTTTCTTCCTTTCTTTATGTGTGCTGGTCTCTACCAATAACTCTCTTACTCTTTTATTTCTATCACAAATTCCTCTCAACCTTAAAAGCCTCTGAGATATCAGTACACACATTTGTTAGCTATTACCCTTCTGTTCCCTTATATTCCAAGGAATACACCTATTATAGTGTGTTTTATCTGGCAATATTATTGTGTTTTACTTATTTGTAGTTCTTATCACTGTAAATTTTTTGAGGGCAGGATATTGCATATCATTGTAATCACAACTACAATAGAGCTAAATCCACAATATGCATGGATTAAATGCCTTTTTTGGGGGGCTCACACCCGTAATCCCAGCACTTTGGGAGGCTCAGGTGGGAAGCTCACCTGAGGTCAGGAATTCAAGACCAGCCTGACCAACATGGCGAAACCCTGTCTCTACTAAAAATACAAAAATTAGCCGGGCATGGTGGTGGGCACCTATAATCCCAACTATTTGGGAGACTGAGGCAGGAGAATTTCTAGAACCCAGAGGCAGAGGTTGCAGTGAGCCGAGATCGTGCCATTGCACTCTAGCCTGGGCGACCAAGTGAGACTCATTACACGCACACACACACACACACACACACACACACACACACACAGCCATTAAAGGCTGTTGTGACATTCATTTTGTCTGAAGCTAAATAAAAATTATTCAGCTAGAGTACCTAAATAGTGGTCAATAACTATCAACTCTAAAATGGATTAAGCCTTCTCTATATGTTGGTATGTTTTTCTTGTCAAAAATAGATTCAGCTTAATCAGATTACTTTATAACATTTTGACTACAGTCTTTAAGAAAGTATATTCTAAGTATTTTTTTGATTGGGTATGTCATCATCGGTATAAAAATTAGTACAATTTTAGATCAGTCACAGTATTATATAAATATCTAAACTATATGAATTATATTGTTTAGAATTTATTTTCTATTAGTCAAAGGATATAATGGTTGAAATATATATACAATGAAATGTATGTATGTATTCTTATATTGAGAAAATGGAATATGGAAGGAAATCAAAGAATATTTGAACTAAGAGAAACAATGATACTTCTTTCTTACGAAAAATATTAAATACCTGTAACACAAATAAACAACCTACACCAAAAATAATTTTAACCTATATTGAAAATAATTTCACAATGAAGCAAACATGAATCGTTGTCAATATCTATTTAATTATTTCTCTTGAAGCTTCAACTTAACATTCCAAAATTGAATTTGGCTTCTCTTTACTTTGTTTCCCAAGTCCCTTTCTCTTCCTGTGCTTATTATATCAGTGCAATCATTTATAATTTCTAGAAGCCAGAAACCTGTTCTTCGACAGATGATTTGTACTTAATTCTTACACTGACAAGCTAATAACTAATGAGACATTTTGATTCTATCTCCTAAGTATCTTATAGATGAATGTACACATGGAATATCCTCTGACATTCTACTTCATCAATATCAACAACAAAATATTTTGACTTGCAGATATTTCAGATGAGGAGTATGGCATACCCCTATTAAGCTTATCTTAGCTGTGATGGCAAACAGAAAAGCAAAATACGAAGTTTGGAGTTAGTTACCAAGAGACCAGTAGCAAGTAATTACTTCATGTTGACCCTCTCCAAGCCTGATGGGAAGAAGTAGAGCTTTTCAATTGATCTGAACTTTTCTGTAGATTTATTTTTCTGTGTATCTGAACTGATCAACAAACTTTAGGACTTTTTTTTTTTTTTTGAGCAGCTAAAAAGTATTTGAAAGCTGTACCCACTTATCTGCCCTAATCTGAAGTTTGCATTGTTTATTTCTTGTTCAGTGGTAAACTGAGGGGAAATCAGCCTCCACCCCAGCTCAAGTTATTGTTTTGGCCAATCTCACACATGGATTATACTTTTGCATTCTTTCCTATTCGCCAAGTTGGTAACTCAAAGGATAAGTGCTTGAGGGAATGGGTAGCCCATTCTCCAAGATTATGCTTATTTCACATTGCATGCCTGTATCAAAACATCTCATGTACCCCATAAATATTTGCAGCTATTATGTGCACATAAAAATAAAAAACAAAAAAATTAGAATTCATAAACTCAAATTCCTGCTTTAAGGTTGTGAATTAATTACTTATATTTCACCTATAGCACTAGGGTGTATTCAGTAAAAATGTGATCAGGGAATTTTAAAAATAGTAGTCTATAATTAAGATTAAAATAATTATTTTGCAGTAGAAATATTTTAAAAATGCAAAAAGAGATATGTGTTATCTTGATTAATAATCATAAGTTCAGTACATCCATTTAACAGCACATTGAACACAGTTTATTTTCGACTCTTCTTTAACTTTACATACATGAAAATATATAGAATATGGGTATTTTATGTCTGGCTTCTCTTATTCAATATTATGTTTATGAGATTTATTCAGTTGGTGTGGACATCAACTTTTAAATTTACTTTGATTACATAAAGTACTATTGTTAGCAGTGACGAGTCCATGTGGGTCTGCAGCAACCTCAAATCCTGCCTCCTCAGAAGAAAGAATTTGACAGAGGGACAAAAGGCAGAGTGAGAGACCAGGGCAAGTTTTAGAGCAGGAGAGAAGGTTTATTAAAAAGCCTTAGAGCAGGAATGAAAAGAAGTAAAGTACAGTTGGAAGAGGGCCAAGCAGGCAACTTGAAAGATCAAGTGCATGGTTTGAATTTTGATTTGGGATTAATATGTTGGCATGCTTCCAGGGGGTTTTGTCCCTTATCCCCATATTCTTCCGTTGGGGTGGGCTGTCCGCTGTTGGGAGGGGCTGCATGCACAGTGTGTTTACTGGAGTTGTAGGCATGCTCACTTCAGGGTTTCTCCCCTTACCAGTCAAATGATTCCTAGAAGGTCAATTACCAGTTAAACTCCACAATTGTGCCTCCTAGTGATCATGCTTGAGCCTAATCGCCCAGCTCCTGACATCTTATCAGGAAGTGGCTGATCACCAGCTTCAGATGTTTCTATCTATTTGGAGGTTGCCATTCTCTGGCACTGGCTGTGACCAATTATTTTGGAGAGACAGTTAACAACCACTTGACCATTACGTGATGGTCACCTGGCATTTCTTGATGGTGGGGGTGGTCTCCTGTCCTGCTCATGTCTAACTAGCTACCTATGGTAACACTATATGGAATTGTATTTCATGATCATGTGACATTTTATTTAGCTACTCTACTGTTACTAAACATTTGGATTTTGGTTTATTTCCCAGAGGTTGACTATAAAAATAATGTTTTATGAATATAGTACTATATGCCTTTTGGTGAATAATTTACTTATATTTAGGGGAGAAGTATAAATAGGACATGAAATTCTGAAACCTCCATTGCAAAATTGTAACTGAGACAGTGAAAGAGATCTGAACTAACCAACTCCATCTTGCTTCTAACCTCCACGCTGTCCTTGTTCATTCCTCAGCATATGCTGAAGTAACTTTGGGAGGAATTTAGTTTATCATTTAAAACAAAGATGATAACAACGTTTGTCCAAAACAAACCTTTTTCTTGCCTGGGACCTAGTTGTTTAGGAGTCATGCAGCTGGAGGCTACAAGATTCTGACACTCCCTAAACTCCTCCTAAAATCAGTGCTTGACATATTTTGCAGACCCTGTACTTGATGGATCAGCTGGCACCACCCAGACTGATAAACTGGCTCATCCGATCTTGTGGCCCCTCTACCCAGGAACTGACTTAGCGCAAGAGCTTCAAGTCCTTATGATTTCATCTCTGACCCAACCAATCAGTGTTCTTGACTCACTGGCCTTCTCCCACCCACCAAATTATCCTTAAAAACACTGATCCCCAAATGCTCGGGGGAGACTGATTTCAGTAATGATAAAACTCTGGTCTCCTGCACAGCTGGCTCTGTGTGAATTAATCTTTCTCTATTGAAAGTCCCCTGTCTTGATAAATCAGCTCTGTCTAGGCAGCGGGCAAAGTGAATCCACTAGGTGACAATTCTGGGTCACAGGGCATGGTATTTACCTTTGTAAAGAAGTGTACCACCCTTTCACATTCACAGTCTGTAAGTGTCCACTGATTTCAATTCTCAACATGTTCGATGATTTCAGCCTTTTTAATTACCTGGTAAGGGTGTAGTGGTATCAATTCGACAACCAAATTGAGTGACCGAGGCAGTTGTCCCAATCAATTGAGGTTTATTGAGCCAGCTAGAGGGCTTGCCTGTGAAAAACACAAGTAACAGACGCATCTGTGGCTATTGATTCCAGAAAGGTTCTCAAGAGGTTTTGTACTTATACATTTTCCTTAAAAAAAAAAAAAAGGAGGGGCAGTGAGACAAATGGTTATATACATGTGAGACTTCAGTTAATACCCAGTAAATCTACATTTTACACAACATAAGATGAACATATGAAGAAAACGAACACCTCAGGGAGGGGTAAAGTAATGATCAATCTCATCTTGTCTTTGTTCTGTACCTGGGAAGATAAGTCAGTAACAGACATTACCAGTGTGAGTCTTATAAAAGGGCTGGTTTCTGTTTAGCCTTTAGAGAAGAAAGCCTAATGGTGGTTACTGAGGGAGGGGGTATAAGAAGGCCTGTCTGACTTCCCAGGCAGCTGTGGCTGGGAACTCAGATTCCAAGGTTTCTCTGGGGTCCCCCCAGTCAAAAGTGGATCTGTTTAGTCAGTTGGGAGCTTAGAATTTTATTTTTATTCCTCAAACTGTAGATTTATTATATGTCTCCCTGATGGTTAATTAGATTAATAAGCATCTCACATGCTTATTGACCATTAGGATATCCTCTTCTGTGAAATGCTACCCAAGTCCCAGTTTTTCTGTTGAATGTCCTATCTTTTCTATACTGATTTATAGGAGGTCTGTATATTTGTTTATTAAGTCTTGGTTATTAAACTGCATTGAATATCTTTTCTCCCCAAATCCTTGGTGATTACATCTTTTTGCCATCACTACAGTTTTTCATTTTCTAGAATGTTATATAATTGGAATTATACAATATGTATTCATTTTAGACTGACTTATTTAACTTGTCAATATGCATTTAAGGTTTATATGTCTTTACAGGACTTGGTAGCTTATTTTTAAATCATTGAATAATAATCCATAGTATGAATTTTGGTTGTATCTAGTTTTGAGTGATTATACATAAACCTGCTATAAAGATCGACACACAAGCTGTTGTATGGTCATAAGTTTTCAAATGGTTTGGGTAAATATCTAGGAGTGTGACTGCTGGGTCGTATGGTAATACTATGTTCAGCTATTTAAAAACAGCCATACCTTCTTTTAAAATGACTACAACATTTTGCATTCCCATTGGCAATAATTGAAAGCACATGTTTCTCCACATCTTCACCAGCCAATGGTATTTTCTGTTTTGGGATTTTAAGCAATCTAATAAATGTGTGAAAATGTTGTCAGAAGTATAATTTTTAATATTGTCTCCCATGTAGCAAACTTGTTAAACTCAATTTTCATTTTTTAAAATTTCTATTTCATCTGTTATAAATATCTGTTTTTACCTATATTATTTTAAAAACAAATATGAGGTTTTTGAATATGGAGTTAGATTTATTACTTGAAGTAATGATTTAATCAGTGCTCCACATACCATTCTCTGTCTTCAAAACAATCCAATGAGAGTTTGATGGTTAGTACTAGGTATATGAAAACTGAGTTTCTTGCACCATCAGTGATATAAAAATATAAACCTGAGAGTTTATATAGAAATTCTGATACTTCTGCATACCTTTTCTTTTGCCAGAGGGGGAGAAATCTGATTTCCTGAAGATAATAAACAAATCCTCTCCTGAAAAGAAAGGGAAGGTCTCTCGTTTACAGCTCTTTAGAATGTAAATGAATTACTTTGTTTCATCTTCCTTTGAAGTGTAAACGCATACCTTTGGGTAGATTAATCTCTGTCTCTATTTAAAAGTCTCTAATCACTCTTTAACTCCCCAATCTCGTCTCTTAAATCAGACTAGATTTCTTTGCTTAAAACATCTCAACCATGCAGAAACTTGAAAAATATTCATATTGCTTTTTTTATACCATTAGTAGATCAAGTTTGTGTTTTCTCTACACACAATTATATCATTATTTTATGTTTTTCTCCTACCCAAAAGGACTGGCTAGGGCATCTAGTCAATGTTGAATATATTTGGTGATAATAAGGCATTACTGGATCTTTCCGTTTTCAGGGGAAAATCTTCAAATTTTTATTGTTAAGTAATGTAGTGTTAGAGGTGATATCTTTTCACAAAAATAATTATCAGAAGTTTCTTTCTATTTCTAGTTTACTATGAGTTTTTCACTTAAATGGATGTTAAATATTACAAAATTCTTTTCTGTGTAGGAAATAACTTAGTTTTTGTCTTTAATGTAGTGCATTACTTTAACTGATTTTTCAAATATAAAATCACTTCTTGACTGAACAATTGTTACCATAAGTCTATTTGAATAACATTAGAGACATAACATGTTAAGATTTTGTTTAGAAATATTCATCTATGTTCATAAAAATGATTGTCCTGTAATTTTTCATTTTTAGAAAGTGTTTTTTATGTTTGGTAACTTTACAAAATTTGGCAGCATGGGATTTTTCTGTAAGTAAATATAAATCAAAATTTTACTTACTAAAATAGAGACATGGAGATATTTGGTTTAAAAATTCTTCCATGTCAATTTTTAAATTTATTTTTCTAGAGATTTATTGATTTCATCTACATGAAAATAGTTATTAACATGCATTTTTATAATATACTCAAATAGAGACTCAGTATTTGTAAAATTTATAATGATGTGCCATTTGCTATTTTTTTCCTGCTACTACGCTTCACCTATTATTTCTTTTTTTGCTTCCTTTATTATTTCTGATGATAGCTTTCAGATTATATAGTTTTTGTTAAATATTGTCTTAGAGTTGTCATTCTTATTAGTCTTTTCCAATAGCCAAATTTGCCATTTTTCTATTTTCTATTTTATTAATGTCTGCTGTTATAACATTTATTAATCTTTTAAACGTTTTGAGTTAAATTTGCTTTCATTCTGCTTCATTATTAATTAATATTTAGCATTTTCCTAGCAAAGTTCCCTTATTATTTAGCAATGAGACTATATATTCCAGATAAAGGCTCTTTGTTAGATTTAAGTATTACAGTTTTTGCATTGTATTATTTTTTTCACATCTCTTTTTTTGTATTTAATCAGGTTTAATGAGATATAAATGACATAACCATTTGTAAGTTTCATTAGTTTCAACAAATGTATACAGTCATGTAGTTACCTCTTCAATCTAGATGTAGATTATTACCACTACAGCAGAAAGTTCCCTAAAGCCTCTTTGCTATGAAACCCCTTCAGCATCCTGGCCCTGATCTTTTTCCTTGTAATTTTACTTTTTTAAAGAATGTTAATATTGGAAATTATAATTTTTGTAGGCTTTATTTCTTCTAGCATTTTTAACTTAATGTAATATTTATAATAATATGTATTCATAATTATTTATTATAGTTTCATTTTCTTTTATTCAATAAAAAAATTCCAACATATTGACTTATCACAAATTATTTCACCACTCTTTAATTGATACTAATTTTAGTTGCTTCTAATTTGAGGCTATTATGCAGAAAGCTGCTATAGAGACCATGTGAACCTGATATGATTTACATTTCTTTCTGACAAGAAGTGAATTAGACATACTACCAACTTAGATCATTTTAATCTATTCAGAGATTAGAACATTTAAAAACTTAATTTCTGTCAGAATATGGTATTGTTTATTTTATCCTGTGGTGATATCTTAAATGCTTCGAGTATTCACCAGGGCCCTTCAAGTTTAGTAAATCTGAAATCCATTTTTACCCCTAGTTCTTTCATTCTGATAAAAAAGAAAAGTCTGAACAGTTTCTCTGCTTCTCAATGGCTGGGAACAACAAATGACCCATAGGTCAGCTCATTTGATTTCTCTTCTCTTAGATATTTAACCATATAAATCCTTATTACCTTGTTAGCTGTGCGATATTTATAGATTATTGTTAATATCAGCAGAAAGATTGATCTGAAACAGACTCATCAATAATTACCAGAAAGAGAATCTAAGAATACTTTAAAAACAAAACACACAAAATAAAGGTATTTCTATAATTAGTAAAGGTATTATTTATATTTTAATGTCACTATGAGGATATTCTAATTATAATAACAGTTTGTAAAATACAACTTCAATTATTATTGTTCAAAAGTAATGTTTAAAACAATGAAAACTTATGTTACATTTATATACCAAATATCTGATTTTTATTTTTCTTTGAAATTTTTATCATTAATTAGATAATGAAAAGGTGTGAATCAGAGGGAAGTAGATAATTAAATAATAAATTAGAGGTAGAATTTCAAGTCATTTTGATACTACTGAAAAGATAATCAACTAATAAATTATTAATAATTTACTTCTGTTTATTTGTGATATTAGTTTCTTAAAACTACTGTAAGAAAGTTCATGGCTTCACACAACATAAATTTATTCTCTCTCAGTCCTCGAGACTAGAGATCTAAAATCAATTTTACTGGATAAAGAATAAAGTGACACCAGGGCTTCCTTCCCTCTGGAGGCTCTTGGGAGAATTATTTCCTACTTCTTCAAGCTTGTATTTGCTACCATTATTCCTTGACTTGTGACCACATCATTCCAACCTTTTCTTCTTGGACAAATTACCTTTTATATGTGTCAAGTCTTTCTATGCCTCTGTCTTTTAAAGGTACATGTGATTGGATGTAGGGACTACCAAGATGATCAAAGTCACTCTCCCTATTTGAAGATCTTTATTTTAAGCACATCTGCAAAACAAAACCAAAAATTAATAGTTGGAACAAATATAAAAATTAGAGCAGAACTAAATAAAATAGAGACTTAAAAAAATGAAAAGAATCAGTGAAATGAGAGGGTTATTTTCTGAAAAGATAAAAAAAAAGATAAACCTCTTTCTAGACTCATCAAGAAAAAAATGAAAGAAGACCTAAATAAATGAAATCAGAAATGAGAAAGGACACATTACAACTAATACCACAGAAATATAAAATATATTCAGAGACTATTAGGAACAACTACACACACACACACACACACACAAAGGAAAAACTTAGAGAAAATAAATTCCTGGACACGTACAACCTATCAAGATTGAATCAGAGAGAAATAGAAAACTTCAAGAGACCAATAACAAATAATAAGATTAATCAGTATTAATAAGTCTCTAAACAAAGAAAAGTTCAAGAATGGATGGCTGTACTGGAGAATTCTACCAAACTTTCAAAGAACAAGCACCAATTCTCCTCAAATCATGCCAAAAAAAAAAAAAAAAAAATGGAAGGGAAGGAAATTCTTGCTTACTCATTCCATGAGGCCAGCATTACTGTGATACCGATACCAATACCAGACAAGAATGCAAAAAAACTAAAACTATAGCCAGATTTCCTTGATAAAAATAGGCGTAAAAATCCTCAAAAAAAATACTAACAAACTGAATCCAATACCAAAATTATAAAACTACCAGATGAAAACATAGAAAAAGCACTTCATAGCATTGGTCTAGGCAAATATTTTATGGCTAACGCATCAAAAGCACAGACAACAAAACTAAAAGTAGACAGATGGGACTATATTGTACTAAAAGCTTCTGTACAGCTAAGGAAACAATCAACAGAGCAAAGAGACAAACTACCTAATGGGAAAAAATATTTGTAACCAATTTACTTAACAAGAGACTATTATTTAGAATATAAAAAGAACTCAAATAACTCAGTAGCATGTCACCAAGTTATTTTATGATATCAAAATACTTATTCTAAAGTTTTTATAGAGAGGCAAAAATCCAGGAGAGTCAACACAATATTGAAGAAGAAGAGAAGAACAAATTGTAATACTGACATTATCCAACATCAAGTCATGTTATAAAGCTACAATAATCAAGACAGTGATTTATTGGCAAAAGAGTGGACATAGGGATCAAAGGAACAGAATAGAGACCCCAGAAATAGCTTCATATAAATATACTCTAAATAGATAATGGAATTAAATGTAAAAGGCAAAACTATAAAACTCCTAAAAATACCATTGGAGAAAAAAAGTCTAAATTACTTGGGGCTTGGCAATGACTTTTTACATGTCACACAAAAGGCACCATCCATGAAAAAGTGACGGTTGGAATTCATTAAAATTAAAAATTTCTGCTCTGTGAATTACACTGTCAAAACAATGAATAGACAAGACACAGATTGAAAGAAAATATTTGCAAAAGACATAGCTGATAAATGACTGTCATATAAAATATACAAAGAACTTTTAAAACTCAACAATAAGAACACAAATAACTTGAGTAAATGATGAGCTACAGACCTTAGCAGATGCCTAAATAAAGAAGATATATGAAAAGATGCTCCACATTATGTCGTCAGGAAAATGCAAATTAAAACAGCAATGAGATATCACTATACACATATTAGTATAACTAAAATTCAAAACACTGATAGCATTAAATGCTAGCAAGTTTGTAAGGCAATTAGAATGCAAAATTATACGGCCACTTGAAAGAAAACTTGGTGCTTGGTGCTTTGTTGCAAAACTAAACATGTTTTTTCCACAGGACCCAGTAACCATGCTCCTTTGATCTCAAAAGATCTGAAAATGTCTGTTACACAAAAACCAGAACAAGGCTGTTTATAGCAGCTTAATTCATAATTACCTCAAATTGAATAAATGTCCTTTTGTAGGGGAATGTATAAATAAACTGTGGTACATCCAGATAACAAAATATTATTCAGTGTTAAAAAGAAATGTGTCATCCAGCCACAAAAAGACATAGAGGAAAGTTACTAAGTGAAAGAAGCCAATCTGAAAAAGCTCTGCATACTGTGTGATTCCAACTACATGACATTCTGGAAAAGGCTAAGTTACAGAGACAGTAAAAAGATTGCTAGGGATTTGGAGGTACAAAGGGATGAATAGGCAGAACACAGAGAAATTTTAGGGCACCGAATATACTCTGTGTGTTATTATAATGGGGGATATATGCAATCATACATTTGTTCCAACTTATAGAATCTATAACCAAGAGTAAACAAGTCAGCTCAACAATTAGGGTTCTAAATATTTCTCAGCTGGTGTAGCTTAGATTAAGTTTTCACACACAATCAATATTTGAGTCCTTTCCATTATTTTTAAATCATTTTATGTTATTCTTTTTGTAAAATTGTAACATACTTTAAATATCATAGAAAAATACAAGAAAAAAACACAGCAATTCGTGGGTTATAGTAAGCATTTCTAGTTTGGAGAGCTGGGGTGAAATATTTGAGCATGTTTTGAAAAGGACTAGAAGCAATGTAGGAGTTCAGTTAGGAAGGTATTATACTGACTCAGGAAAGAGACAACTCAGAAAAGTGTTAAGATATATACATATATATATATACACACACACGAAAAAATGATTATTAAAGTAATATTCATTAAATGACTTTGACAGTATTTTGTAATGAATTTATTATGAGGAATCTGGTGCTATGTTTACCTAAGATGGAAAACCTAGAAAAGCACTTGATTTTAAGTGACTTGTTAGACCCTGATTTTATAATGAACATGCTAAAATTGATATTTGGTTGGAATTCCACCTAATGTTCTCAAATAGGTAGACAGAAATATAAGTTTGTGTTTAAGAGGAGAGAGCTGCTGTGCAGATCCAAATTTGTTAGATAGCATAACAGTTTGAAGTCTGGTTTCACCTCTTACTACATATATGTAAAACCTTGTGAAAATGACTCTATTTGAGTCTAAATTTTCACTTTACAATAATAGACAATAAATGATAACTACTTCAAATGTTTGTCATAAAGAATAAATATTTACCATGTAGACCAGGAACTTATTTAGAATTAAAGGGCAATAAATATTAGTTCTTTATGTCATGCTGATAATGATGTTGATAATTATAATGTACTACACATTTCACTTTTACTAAGAATGAAAAATTTACATCAAAATAGCAGTAAAGTTCCCATGAAAGGAACAAAACCTTGTAATATTGATATTTTCTAATTATATCAATAATGTTGGCATTATATCAATCATATATGAATCTATAGCTACCCTATTGCTTGTAAAGCATTTCTGGATCACCAGGGAGGCAATTTTAATGTTAAAAGTGTAGCTATTTGTAGTTATAAAATGCATTTTGCACATTACATTATTTTATTATTCATTTCTCTCCCTTATTTTTTCTTCTCTTTTGTTGATATACAGGTTCTTTTTATTTAAATCTATTTTGTTCCTAATATGCATATATGCATATATATTTTAATATTATGAAAATATTTGGTATTAGTTTCTATTAATAGTAATTGTTTTCAAGCTAAAGATATTCCATTTTACTTATTTCTACACAAAAATTTCACCAGAAATAACTGTTGATATTAAATACGTAGATTTTATCTATTTAGATGATCATCTCCTTTAATTTCGTAATGCTTCAATTACATTGAATTTTTCTAGTGTTGAAAATTTACTATACTCATTCTTCATTCTACTGAGGCCTGAGGTATCACTCATTCAGTGTGTTATTGAACTAAGTTGTTCAAATTTGTGTCTTCTTATTTTTGCATACATTTTTATGACATAATATTTTCTTTGTATAAATTTTGTTTAGATCTGGTGCCAATGTTATGTTTGACTTTTTCCATCATTTAACATTTGTTTTGAGAAAGGCTTGTTTGATAATCTAGCTTTACTTTGTAAATATATTTTCTTAGAAAATACATTTTGTGCAGAATATAACCTTTCTGGTAACACATGTCATAATATTCTCACATATTTTTAAAACATATTTTTGCATCTGTGATTATATTCATCTTCTCATTCCTTATGGAATTCTCCACCTCCTCCTCAATCTCTTCTTTTCCTCTTCCTCCTCTTCTGATTCGCCTCTTCTTCTAACTTTTCCTTTTCCTGTTCCTCCCCTGCTCCTCTCTTCCACTTTTTCCTTCACTCTCCTTTCCCCCTTCACTCTCCTTTCCCCCTTCTCTTCCTTCTACTTCAACTCCTCCTCCTTGTTCTCTCCTTTTTCCTCATCTCTTTTTCTTGTTTTCTACCACTTAATCTTCTAACTTATCCTCTTTCTCCTCCTTCTCTGATTGCTTCTCTTCCTCCTCCTTAAATAAATAACTTCCCTTCATGTTTTAGGAAAATTTGCTGTCCTTGCTGTGTCACCTCCTTCCACTCAGAGCCAATACCTAGTACTTTTTCTCAGATATTTTATCAAAACTTCTACTTTGCAGGTCAGTATTCTTGTTTTTCATTTGGACGGCAAGTGTTGAAGTTTATTGTTTTTAAAAAAATAGGCTTATGGTAGGTATTTTCCACTTAGGGCTTTACCCATGACTCCTTTAGTTCCCAGCATCTACTGTTGTTTTATTGAAGGGAATATCATGTTGGAAAGCACCGTGTTTTTTTTTTTTTAATATTATATTTGGCTATAGAGTAGCCCATTCATTTGTTATTGGGGTTTGATGGTAGTCTCTCTTCTTCCACCTTTTTATTTAGTTTTCTGGAGATTTCTTACCGTGCTGTCTGATAGTAGACTTCAGCCTAAATTTCAAGAGCTGAAGTACATTTTTACTATGCATCATTGTATCTATTTCCTATATTATTATAATTTGTTTTGTTTGTGTCTTCCATATTGAACCAGAATTTATAAGTACTTTTGCAAAATGCTGAAAATGTTAAAGTTATTCATGGATATTAAACATGTTATATTTAGTTAATACCTAATCAATACATATTCTCGCTCTGTCACTATTTTACTCTAATTTTAAATTTACATAATATAATTGACTCTTTCTCCAAAAACAATTTTTACTGTATTTAATAAGGTGTTTTACAAAATTCAAATATATAAAAGGATAAATGATGTGAGTCAATTTTCAGTAAATTCTAAAGATATAGATGTATCATGTTAGATAATTTGGAATTAAAATAACATCTAATTGATTTATTTATCTATTTCACTTTGATTTGACAACAAATAACACATTTTAATAACTACTAAAATTAATAAATGATCTAACTATATTTGACTAATAAAAAGAGGTTGAAGGAATATTTAAGCACATTTGGCAGCCCATTAAGGACTATTAAAATTAATCAAATAAGCTAGAGTGTTGGAATTTTATATATTCTCAAACAATAGAATTTTTACATTTAATTCTCTAAAAATTTAGGGAAGCTCTATATGTAAGTAAATAATTACTAGCAAAGATTAAATTCTTGCCCTGTGATTTGGGATATATTCAATTACATAAGATCAATAAGTACCGTAGAATATTTAAGCCAAAGGAAATAGAACATTTAAGTGTAAAATAATAAAATTTTACAGTCCATGTCCACGTGTACACATTATTTAACTCCCATTTAAAAGTGAGAACAAGCAATACTTGTTTTTCTGTGTCTCAGTTGTTTTCCTTAACAGTTCCATCCATGCTGCTGCAAAGACATGATTTCATTCTTTTTTTAATGCCTGAATAGTATTCCATTGTATGTATGTTATATTAGCCTGTTCTCATGCCGTGAATAAAGACATGCTCGCCACTGGGTAGTTTTTATAGGAAAAAGATTTAATTGACTCACAGTTCCACGTGGCTGGAGAGGCCTCACAATCATGACGGAAGGCAAAAGAGTAGTAAGTCACATCTTACATGGCAGCAGGCAAGAGAGCATGTGCAGGGGAACTCCCCTTATAAAACAATCAGCTCTCATGAGATTTATTCACCATCATGAAAACAGCATGGGAAAGACCCACCCGAATGATTCAATTACCTCCCACCAGGTCCTTTCAATGACACGTGAGACTGAGGGTTTTCTCAGGTACTCAATGGCCAATTCAGAGTGTCTCTGAGAAAATCTTCTTCATCCAATAATTTTTTCCAAAGGATAATCTGCATTTGCCTTGCATAAATATATTCCTTTAATGTGATTCTATTAACTTTAATGCTTTTTCAGTTTACATTTTTCCTAATAAATATAAAGGTCAATTGTGAATATGGTATATCAGTCTGTTTTATGTTTTTTTCCATATAAAATGCAGTAACATTTGGTAAATAACCTGTCATTTCCAATAGCTTTTCCCTAAATCCTTTATCACTTATCAATTTATCAGAGAAATATGGGATCATTTTAAGCATTCTGAATCTATTTCTAAATCAGTTCCATGCTATTCTATCTTATGATATTCTAATATTTTAAAATATCTGCTAGGCTCAGTTGCCTCTCTGTACATTTCTGTTTCACAGTATAATTTGCTTGCATATATATACTGTCATGTAAATCACAGAATGAATTTATAGGTTTCCTTAAAAATAAAACCAAAAAGTGAATATTTTGATTAGGATTTATTGAATTGATAGACGTTGGGTGTGGATTTAAGTATTTTATATTTTCCCATTGACAAAGTTTGTAGATTTCCTTATTTATTCAAATATTGATTTATGTCATAACCTGCATTCTACAATTTTACTTAAATATTATATGAATTATTTTAGTCTGATTACTATGTATTCTATAAACAATTTCTTTGAATAGTATTTTCTATAGTTTACTATTAAATTTCCTGTTAATTGTTAACATTTTATATCTGCCGATCACATTAAATTCTACTAATTCTGAAAATGAGTTTATTTCTTTATGGCATTTCTATGTTCGTGGTCCTGTTATCTGCAGATATTGGTATTTTGATTCCTTGTCTTCTAATTCCTCCATCATTTATTTAACTTATAGTTTTATCTGGGTCATTTAGGCATATGTTTTTTTCAAGCTTACTCTCTGATAAAATAAAACCTCAGCCGAATTAAATTTAAAAGTGTTTAATTGAGCAATGAATGATTCGTGAATAGGGTAGCCTCTAGAGCCAGAGTATGCTCAGAGACTCCAACGCAGTCACATGGTGGAAGAAGATTTATGGACAGAAAAAGGAAAGTTGCTGGGTCCGGGGATCACACCTGTAATCCCAGCACTTTGGGAGGCCGAGGTGAGTGGATCACAAAGTCAAGAGATCGAGACCATCCTGGCCAACATGGTGAAACCCTGTTCTAATAAAAATACAAAAATTAGCTGGGCGTGGTGGCAGGCGCCTGTAGTCCCAGCTAGCTGGGAGGCTGAGGCAGGAGAATCGCTTGAACGTGGGAGGTGGAGGTTGCAGTGAGCCAAGATCGTGCTACTGCACTCCAGCCTGGCAACAGAGCGAGACTCCGTCTCAAAAAAGAAAAAAAGAAAAAGGAAAGTGACATACAGAAAACTTTAGGAAGTGAGGTACAGAAACAGCCGGAATGGTTATAGCTAGGTGTTTGCCTTATATGAACACTGTTTGTACAGTTGGCTAAACTGATTGGCCAAACTCGGTGATTGACACAAGAGTAGGCTAAGCTCTGTTTACATCTCCAGTTGTTATAGTTTACAATATACAGAGAAACTTTTAGGCCAAATTTAAAATATGTAAGGAAGCAGCGTTAGGCTAAACTTGATTATCATTTCTTACAATAAGTTTTCACAGAGAAAAATTATCCAGCATTCTGTCTAGAAAAATAAACACACAACAGACAAACGCACACATGAACGAACAGCTGGGATTATCAATTTTCAGCATATGTGATTGCAGATAATTCCTCTATTCTCAGTGAGGACATCTGTTACATCACTATTTAAACTATTATTGCTATTTTAATCTTTGGTCTACCCACCATTTCCTCTTCAGAGGTATTGGTTATCATCTAATTTCTGAGACATTTTGAAGTTCTTTCAGGTAGATCATTTACTTCTTGGCTTCCTTCACTGACAGTTAGGATTTTAGGTTTGGTTGGTTGTGGTGCCTCATGCCTACAGACAATCCCAGCAATTTGAGAGGCCTAAACAGATGGATCACTTGAGGTCAGAAGTTTGAGACCAGCCTGGCCAACATGGTGAATCCCTGTCTCTATAAAAATACAAAAACTTAGCCAGGCATGGTGGTGGGCACCTGTAATCCCAGCTACTTGGGAGGCTGAGGCAGGAGAAATCACATGAACCCGGAGGCAGAAGTTGCAGTGAGCCGAGATCGCATCACTGGACTCCAGCCTGGGTGACAGAGACCCTGTCTCAAAAAAAAAAAAAAAAAAAAAAAAAAAATGTAGGCTTAACTGAAATGCTTAGACATTTGCTACTTGCCTTTCTGCTTATAACTTCAAAACATATTTACTATTTTCTTCTATTCCATTGTTTTTTACCTTGAAAGTGAAAACGAAAAAGAAACTTTATTGCCATTTAATCATTCATAATATAACAAAGGTAACTTCTTTTCCATTTACTGTTTATAATAAAAATTACTAGATCTCTTGGGCTTTTTTCCTACATGATTCTGCCATTAATTAAGCAGACAAATGATAACAGAGATTCCACATATCACCTATGGAAATTATGGTGCAGCCCTCGAAGTGGAGATTGCATACAATTACAGAACAGTTCTTTTAAGTTTATAAGCAAATTAAAGCTAAGGGTCAATAATACTATTTACTGTTGGAGTATCAAAGCTCTATACTCCTAGCTTAGTGTTATTAAGAGGATCTCAGAATATTCCCTCAAATTCTGACTAAAATAAAATACTCTAAAATTATTAGTTTTATAAAACATTGTTGGACCCTAAAATTATTATTTTTAGAAAACATTTTTAGAAGTGGATAAATAATAACCCTATTAATTACAAAAACACATTTGACTCTTCGTATTAGTGGATACAAAAAATGTGATTTCTAATTCAATGTTTATTTTTGAAACTTTATTATAATACTTTTAGGTATAAAAGTAATGTATGTTCACTTGAACAAATTAACAAAAGTAAAAATATATAATATGAATAAACAATAAATTCCCTTCACATGTCACCTTCCCTTGACTAGCTAGTGTTTACGACATGTTGTGCATTTTTCACAGCCTTTTTTGTGACATCTAAACATATGGAAATGTGTACTATGAGCAAATATAAAAACAGATACGAGGCCCCGCGCGGTGTCTCATGCCTGTAATCCCAGCACTTTGGGTGGTGAATCATTTGAGGTCAGGAGTTTGAGACCAGGCTGGCCGACATGGTGAAACCCTGTCTCTACTAAAAACACACAAAAATGAGCTGGATATGGTGGTACGCGCCTTAATCCTAGGTACTCGGGAGGCTGAAGCATAAGAATAGTCTGAACCCAGGAGGTGGAGGTTGCAGTGAGCCAAGATCGCGCCACTGCCCTCCAGCCTGGGTGACAGAGTGAGACTTTGCCTCCAAAATATATATATATATATATATATAGCTATATATGATATATAATGTAAATGTTTATATAAAATATAATGCAATTATTTCCTATGTGTACTTTGTTCATAAATACATAAAAAATTTTTAAAAAGCAGAAAGAAAGATGATAAATCATGTTGATGGAGCCTGGCTTTAAAGATGAATATAATGTAATTTAGTTGTGCTGTTCATTTTTTCTAACAATATTCAGAATGCCTCTTTTGATGTCTAAAAACCAGTGTTTTAAGGCTGAGTTTGATCTAATGTAATATTCTTATGGAAAAAGATATAGGCTTATAGAATACTAATTTGAAAATTAGGAAATAAACATCATTTCATAACTTTATATTTTTCATTTCTTTGAGAACTCTTTTTAAAATTGTTTTAAAAATTTTAATTCATGTAATATGTCAACTGAGATTTTACTTTATTGTCTTAAGTTTCCAGTTAGTAATAACTCCATACCACATGTCTTGCAATTGAGCAATTTGTTGTTTAATTAATATATCTAGGATTGAATAATTTGCTATAGTTGCTGATTAGAAGTGCCAGCCTTGCCTGAAATTTGTTTAAATTGGAATTATCTAATCTTTTGGGAATAGATGTGCTGTTTAGTTTTTCCTGCTTTCCTTAACAAATTTGATTTATGTGGTTTTTTTCCCTGTGACCTGCCATATACCTTACTGGAAAAAAATGCATAGAAACACTAGGAGGAACTTCTCTGTAGTTTACTAAGAGATTCTGTAACTAATTTACACTGTCACCACCAGCCATTGGAACATATAAAAGAGTGACAATACTATTGTATATTTTAAAATAGCAAGCACCTCTTTAATACGAAGCAAATGCTTCTTTTATTTTCCAGAAAAAAATAAAGTATGTTTCTATCCAAGGTGATATAACAAATTACTGGCAACTCTTGACATTGGTTTCGCAGACAAACAATTTAACTTTTATATTGTCTTCAAGTTAGAGTAGCATATTTAAGTGATATCATTAATAGGAGTTTTGTACATTAAGCATATCTATTGCAAAAAACAGTGCTCTCAATTATATATCTATTATGTTTTTAATGGAGATCTACTTCTTAAAATGGAAGTGGGTATCTAGGTTTATTTAATTTATTTTCCAAACACACAAAGATAGTTCTTTTTTAAAATAAGATTAAAATTTGTTCCCAGAAAACAGTAGTCATGGTTTAGATTTGTCAATAAAGTGACTGAATCAAAGTTGACTTTATATGGAAAATATAATGATTTTAATGTTATTATTGCAGACAAAAATAATGGTTGATTGCCACTAATATTTCCTGTAATTTACTAGGTTATATCAAAGAGGAAATCACTTACCTGAAATAATTTCTACATAGAAGCTTTTGGGGGAATACTTTACTCCCTAAAACTTAATACCAGACATATAATAACAGCAACAAAATCATATATAATAATATAGCCATTGGAAGACAATAGTAATTTGTTATTTAAATTTAATATCCTGACTCTTTAACTTACTCATGTTGTTTTAGTAGTGTGGTTTTATATATAACAAGAATTTCTCAATAATTACAGAATAATTGATTTTGATTCAAAAGTAAAATATTCTGTGTCTTCTAATGAGCCTTAAGACATTTTACTATAGTCCATCTATTCAGAACAAATAAGCACATTTATATGAGAAAGTCATACTAACAATTCATTAATGATAGTAGGTATAAATAGTAATGAGTATTATTTCTCCTGCAAACCTACTCAAGGAAGAGAATGCTGATGAAAACACATACAGGAAGAAATAATTACATGCTTATATGTCCATTTAGAGATGCTTAGAAAAAGGTGATTAAAGGATTATAAACAAAAACTCAATAATACCGACCCTATCTAACTCACAATAAAATTTATTTCCATCCAGAGTATTAGTGTCCTTGTTTGGTCACATTTCTAGCCATTCAGCTCAACACACCATTTTTTTTTTCAGGGAGTTTTGTATAATTGATCCCTGAAATCTCTTGTGCTCCCTCAAATTCAAAACATACAGGCTACTCTTGAAATCTGGAAAACACACACACACACACACACACACACACACACACACACACACACTCTCTCTCTCTCTCTCTCTCTCTCGGTAGTGTAATCTATTGAGACAGCAGTTGAGTGCTAAAAAACCACTTCTATCTGAGGACTTGTAGTACTTGCATTGTTATGGCTAATTGAAATACACTGTACATAATACAATTGAATACAAGTATAATTACCCCTAAAAAATATGTCCCCTCTGTTCTCACTATCCTGAATTCTGATTCTTTTTCATTTCATTCCCAATCTTTGTATGTGATACTTGAAAACACTGCTACAATGTTAACAAAGCTTAATGACTTCCACATTTGCATGCATACACTAGTGGAAACTGTTTTTTTCCAGAGATAAAATGCCACTTCTTTTGCAGTCTTAGTGCTGGGAGTACTTCCTCTTGATGGTATGAATCTGAGGCGGTCTCCTTATTCCCTGCACTTTTAGACCACTACTCTTCCGCCTTCATGTGAAGCCATTATGTCTTTAAGTTACATGTAATTCTGCTTTATCACCCTCTGTACATATATGCTATCACCTAGAAACTGCTTCCATCAAAATCTTTAATAACAGACTGAAAGTGTTATTTTCTAACTCAAAATCATTCCATTAATATAAACATATCAGTAAAGATGATAGAGTTAAAAACTTGAATCCTCAATTTTTTAAATTTTTTTTACAGCAAGATCATTTATTGCATAATTTCATTACCCTCTCCTGTGCCTTGTCAGCAGCTGGTAACTGCTTTATTGCTGAAATTACTTATTCAGTCATCCCACTTTTTAACGACAGCTTTCTATATTTCAGCTTATTCTTGCAAGTACTCTGAACAATAATGACACACAAATGCATACAGCATTTCTTAGATCCTAGCATTATTCTAAGTGTTTTATAATACTTATATTTAATTCTCAAATCATTATTATTAGATAAATCTTATTACAGACACTTTAAATTTGAAGAAACTGAGGCCCAGGAGATTAATCACTTGTCCAAGGTTACCATATTTATAAGGTATAGAGCTGAATTCCAACGAATGTAGCATAGCTTAGTATTTATGCTCTCTAGTACTACAATAGTAAAAAATTCCAGTCTGTAACTGTCTATGTTTTTCAGCTTCTCAATTCTTAATAATTATTTGACCATTATCTTTGCACTTATACTTGTACCAATATATTTCTATTAGAAATCTGGCAAAACTTGAACACAGGATTAATCAAACTGTTTTTTTCTTTCCCAGCACGCACTCAGGTTGGAAGTGTTTCTTAGAAAAATTACAGAATCACACAAAATTATGCAACCAATACTTCCCTCAACATGCCACAGTAGTCCTCCTCTCTTCCCTCACCATGTTCTTTCTCCCACTTTTTTCAGAGTCTACATAAAGCAAAGTCTACACTCTTCATAACTTTTCTTTCTTTCCTTCTTTGTTCTCATCTAATTTACTTATTTATTACTTGAAAGAGAACTTAGAAGGCATCAGTGAAGAGTTCTCTTAATTTCCTAAACTTCCCTATAAAAGTAAGTATATTTGCAACTATTCTTTTGTCTTTTGCTTTTATTTGAACAAAATTTTAAATGATAATGATACTAATACACTTCTACCTCTCATACTTTATTTTAAATATTTGATGGTGAGCTTAATTTTCTTTTTTGTTCACGATAGAAAAACAAAATAATTACCCATCAGGTAACATACACTAAAATCTATAAGATGGTAAAATATTATATTATGCTGATGCACTGATGCTGTAAACTATATAGAAACATAAAATTAGATTAACAAATGGTAGATAAGTATGCTTTATAATTTATTTAATGTATTAGATTATAACTAAAGGGAACACATTCACATTTTGTATATAACACTTGGTTGCCACAATTTTTAGTTCATAAACAAATTGATTTTTCATGTTTTATAGACTTTTCCCTATGTTAAGAACTGTTATCTTTATACCACATATTTTCTAAGCATTTTTCCCCAGCTTGCCTATTGTTTATGATGTGTAAATATATACTAGTTGAAAATTATGGGTTTGTTACCTATTCCATTACTTTTATTCATAACTTCATCTTCACCCAGGGTGTGGCAATTCATCTACTTTTACTCATTTTCTAAAATGGAGTTTAATTTATGGCATTATGTGAAATGAAATTTTGTTTTAATATTCTCATATATAAAATATCATTAATTACATTGTTTATTTGTTGCTCTTTATTTTCTTTTTAATTGAGATCACTTTCTATATGCATGTAAAATGATATTTCAAGCATATATATCCTATTCCATTAACCTGTTTTCATATATATATATATATATATATATATATATATATATGTATATATATATATTTCAACATAGGGCAAGTTCTTCATGATGTATCTTTGTATCTATTCAAATTTCAGCATGATGAAAAATCAGAGGGTTCAGGAGAAAATTATAGGGCTAATAACATTGTGCCACGTGTTTAACATTCTTTGTGTATGCTTGGAGTTAATTCAAACAAGTAATCCATGTTAATTCCCTCTCATAAGATCTTTTGTTAGATATACATGATTTTAAGGAGTATTTGACATTGCTGGTATGATGTTAAAATAACTTCCATGAGAACTATTGCTCTGTCAAGAGCTGAATAGGAATTGGTAGAGGAAAATAGCGAGAAAGGAAAATATTGTGACTAAGAAAAGGAATATTAAGGGATAAGTAATTTTTCAGAGTGGAGGCTAATGTAGATGAACTATGCAGGCCATAGCTGAGAAAGTTTTCTTCAAGCATGATGCTATTTTCTCTTTAGTCATTAGTTTCATGTCATGGTATAAGAATATGAATACTAATGGCCAAGCTATGATGAGGCTAAGTGGAGGGCACTCCCAGAGCGGGAGCAGTATGTTACCACTTTCTTTGTTATTCAGTCTCCTCTACAGGGCCATGTTCTCTGTTGATCTTTGCCTTTGTTTTGTGATGAAGCTGCCCTTAAGTGTCTGGTACTTTTTAACCTTCCATCATATATGAGACCAAGCATGATGGAGTTGATTGAGAGCCTGCTAAAGATGCCTGGGGCTCTTGACTAGTAGGCTTAGCTCCAGGATAATTGCACTGGGAGACAGTCATTACTTTAAGTTCCCTAAATTACTGAACTCCACAGAAGTTTCCTAGGCACTTTATATTTCTCTAAAGTGAATCTTCCAATTTTAGGATGGGGATAGATTGGGGAGATGGATACTGCCTGACAAAGATATTCTACTTGCTGGAATGGAAGACAAGAGTAGGTGCACGTAAAATTCTGTATAGAGACATTTCCTTACCATCCACCTTTGCTGCTCTATCTTATTTTTGATATATTCTGTTCTGTTACTTCTCTAGATAAATTATTCTCTGCCTTGCTTTATTGCATAATACCCATTCATTTCCCCATAAATATGTCACATTGTATATACAACATATAGCTTTATATTTACAATTTATATATTTAAAATACCTATTTATATATGTATACATTTTGGTCTCTTTTCCACTGAAAATACTTTGCTAGTTGTCTTTGTCATTATGATTTATGTGCCTTGTCATTATTTAAACTATAATGTACGGTAGGGATTAGACAGAAGCAAGGATAAATTTTACAGGCAGTTTACAACCTTTACATTAAGTATAATCCTTTATTAATTGGGTATTGGCTTTATTATCCCTGAACTCTGTGTATCTCTCATTTAAGTGTCTGCTATTTATGAAAAATTATATTATATTTTTGTCCTTGGTTATATTTTTGTCATTGGTTGTTTGGGCTTTTTGTAACCTATTTCTTTCAAAAAACAAACTTTCCTTCTAGGATCCTAGATCACAAATAGAATGACCCACTGGGGAGAAAATGCATACAGTATAGAATGTTAACTACCCCTCCTCTCTTCTTAATAAATCTTTTCCAAGTAAACCACCTTCCTCATCACACATAGATCTCTTCAACACAAACCTGATTTCTTTATAATCACTTTTGTCTCACTACTTTATAGGCCACAATAAGCTGACAAAAAGAAAAGAATGTGTACATACGTGCATCAGCCTATGACTTGTGAATGTGTTTCAGGTAATACTGATTTCTAATTCTGGTACTTAGGGCTAGATGTCATGAATTTTTTTGTAAAGAAAGGTGGAATTTAAAAAATAAATTTCTACCAATAATACATTTTGTTAATGTTCATAATTCATGTGTAGATATACATATATAGTTTAGATATGTATACAAGTATTAATAAAATGTGCAAGGTGTAACTTACATATATTTAAATTGGTAATTTAAATTATTATTATTTTAAACTTTTAGTTCATGGGTACATGTGCAGGTTTGTTACACAGATAAATTTGTGTCATGGGAGGTTTGTTGTACAGATTATTTCATCACCCAGGTATTAAGCTTAGTACACATTAGTTATTTTTCTTGATCCTCTCCCTCCTCACACTTCACCCACTGATAGGCTCCAGTGTCTTTTGTTCCCCTCCTTGGGTTCATGTGTTCTCATCATTTAGTTTTCACTTATAAGTGAGAATATGCAGTTTTTGGTTTTCTGTTCCTGTGTTAATTTGCTAAGGATAATGGCCTCTAGCTCCATCCAAGACCCTGCAAAGGACATGATCTCATTCTTTTTTATGGCTGCATAGTATTTCATGGTGTTTATATACCACATTTTCTTTATCCAGTCTGTCATTGATGGGCATTTAGGTTGATTCCATGGATTTGGTACCATGAATAGTGTTGCAGTAAACATACATGTGCATGTGTCTTTGTAAATCATTTATAGAATGATTTATAATCCTTTGAGTATATGGGATTGCTGGGTCTAATGGTATTTGTGGCTTTAGGCCTTTGTGGAATCATCACACTATCTTCTACAATGGTTGAACTAATTTACACTTCCACCAACAGTGTATAAGTATTCCTTTTACTCCAACACCTCACCAGCATCTGTTATTTTTTGACTTTTTAATAGTAGCCATTCTGACTGATGTGAGATAGTATCTTATTATGGTTTGGATTTGCATTTCTCCAATGAAGAGTGATGTTGAGCTTTTTGTTCATATGATTGTTGGCTGTATCTATGCCTTCTTTAGAAGTGTCTTTTCATTTTCTTTGCCCACATTTATGGAGTTGTTTGTTTTTTTCTTGTAAATTTATTTAAGTTTCTTATAGATGCTGGATATTAGACCTTTGTCAGATGCATAGTTGTCAAATATTTTCTCTCATTCTGCAGGTTGTCTGTTTGCTCTGTCTATAGTTTCTTTTGCTGTGCAGAAATTTAGTTTAATTATATACCATTTGTCAATTTTTTGCATTTGTTGCAAATGCTTTTGGCATCTTTGTCACGAAATATTTGCCTGTGCCTATGTCCTTAATGGTATTTCCTAGGTTGGCTTCAAGGGTTTTTATAATTTTAGGTTTGACACTTAAGTCTTTAATCCATCTTGGGTTAATTTTTGTATAAGGTATAAGGAAGAGGTCCAGTTTCAATCTTCTGCGTATAGCTAGACAGTTTTCCCAGCACCATTTATTGAACAGGAAATCCTTTCCCCATTGCTTGTTTTTGTCACTTTGTTGAAGACCAGATAGTTGTAGATGTGTGGTCTTATTTCTGGGTTCTCTATTCTGTTCCATTGGTCTATGTGTCTGTTTTTGTACCAGTACCATGCTATTTAGGTAACAGTAGCTCTGTAGTATAGTTTGAAGTCAGGTGGCATGATGCCTCCAGTTTTGTTCTTTTTGGTTAGGATTGCCTTGGATATTTGGACTTTTTTTGGGTTCCATATGTATTTTAAAATAGTTACTTTTAATTCTGTAAAGATTGTAAATGGTAGTTTAATAGGTATAACATTGAATTTATTAATTGCTTTGGGCAGTACGAACATTTTAACAATATTGATTCTTCCTATCCTTGAGCATCAAATGTTTTTTAATTTGTTTGTGTCTTCTCTGACTTCTTTGAGCAGTGTGTTGTAGTTTTCCTTGTAGAGATCCTTCACCTCCCTAGTTAGCTAGATACCTAGGTATTTTATTCTTTTTGTGGTAGTTGTGAACTGGAGTTCATTCCTCATTTTGCTCTCTGCTTGGTGTATAGAAATGTTAGCGAATTTTTTCAAATTGATTTTGAATCCTGAGACTGTGTTGAAGTTGTTTATCAGCTTAGAAAGCTTTGGGACTCAGACAATAGGGTTTTTCTAGATATAAGATCATGTCCTCTGCAAAGACAGATAGTTTGATTCCCTCTCTTCGTATTTGGATGGACTTTATTTCTTTATCTTACTCGATTGCCCTGGCCAGAACTTCCAATACTATGTTGAAGAGGAGTGGTGAAAGAGGGCATACTTGTCTTATACCTGTTTTCAAGGAGAATGCTTCCAGGTTTTGCCCATTCAGTATGGTGTTGGATGTGGGTTTGTCATATATGTATCTTATTATTTTGAGGTATGTTTATTCAATACCTACTTTATTGAGAGTTTTAAATATAAATGGATGTTGAATTTTATTGAAAGTCTTTTCTCCACGTATTGAGATAATCACATGTTTTTTGTTTTTAGTTCTGTTTATGCAATGGATCACGTTTATTGATTTGTCTATATTGAACCAACCTTGTATCTCAGGGATAAAGCCTACTTGATCATGGTGAATAAGCTTTTTGATGTGCTGCACTAAATTTGAGTTGCCAGTAGTTTTCTGAGAATTTTTGCATTGATATTGATGAAGGATATTAACCCAAAGTTTTCTTTCTTTGTTGTATCTCTGCCAGGTTTTGATATCAGGATGTTGCTGACCTCATAGGATGAGTTAGAGAGAAGTCCCATCTCCTTGATTTTTTTGAATAGTTTCAGTAGGAAGAGTTTCAGATCTTATTGTACATCTGGTAGAATTCAGCTGTGAATCCATCTGGTCCTGGGCTTTATTGTGTTGGAAGACAATTTATTACAGCCTACATTTCAGAACTCATTTTTGGTCTGTTCATGGATTCAATATCTTTCTGGTTCAGTCTTGGGAGGGTGTATGTGGAATGTATCCATTTCTTCTAGATTTTTTAGTTTATGTGTAGAAAAGTGTTCTTTGTAGTCTCTGATGGTTGTATTTATGTGGGGTCAGTAGTAATATCACCCTTATTGTTTCTGATTGTATTAATTTGAATCTTCTCTCTTTTCTTCTCTATTAGTCTAGCTAGCAGTCTATTTTATCATTGTTTTCAAAAAATTTGTTGATCTTTTGAATGATCTCTTTGTGTCTCAAGCTCCTTCAGTACAGCTCTGATTTTGGTTATTTCTTATCTTCTGCTATCTTTGGAATGTATTTGCTCTTGGTTCTCTAGGTCTTTTAGTTGTGATGTTAGGTGGTTAACTTGAGATTTTTCTAACTTTTTGATGTAGGCATTTAGTGCTATACATTTCTCCCTGAACTCTACCTTACTTGTGTTCCAGAGATTCTGTTACGTTGCATCTTTGTTCTCATTATTTTCAAAGAACTTCTTGATTACTGCCTTAATTTCATTCTTTACCCAAAAGTCATTCAGGGGCAGGTTATTCAATTTCCATGTAATTGTATGGTTTTCAGCAAATTTCTTTGTCTTGATTTCTAATTTGATCGTGTTGTCGTCCAAGAGACTGCTATAATTTCAGGGTTTGTTTTTTTTTTTTTTTTTGCATTTTTAAGGAGTGTTTTACTTTTGGTTATGTGATCAATTCTAGAATATGTGCCATGCGGTGATGAGAAGAATGTATATTCTGTTGATTATGGTTGGAGAGTTCTGTATATATGTATCAGGTACATTTGACCTAGTGCTGAGTTCAGGTACTGGATATCTTTGTTAATTTTCTGTCCCAGTGATCTCCCTAGTGTTTTCAGTGAGGTGTTAAAATCTTCCACTATTATTGTGTGGGAATCTAAGTCTCTTTGAAGGTTTCTAAGCACTTGCTTTATGAATCTGGGTACTACTGTGTTGAGTACATATATATTTAGGATTGTTAGCTTTTCCTGTTCAATTGAACACTTTACCGTTATGTAATGCTCTTCTTTGACTTTTTAAAAAAAATTTGTTGATTTAAAGTCTGTTTTATCAGAAACTAGGATTGAAACCCCACTTTTTTCTGTTTTCCATTTACTTGATAGATTTTTTCTTCATTCTTTTATTTTGAGTCTAATTGTGCCACTGCATGTGAGATGGTTCTCTTGAAGAGAGCATACCAGCGGGTCTTGGTTCTTTATCCAGCTTGCCACTCTGTATCTTTTAATTGGAGCTATCCTTTATTAAAATCTCAAGTAGTAAATGTTACCCAAATATTGTAATAAGATCAAACAAAATGAAAAAAAGTAATTCCAAAGATTTCATTATGCATACTTGTCATTATGCATATATTATGAACGCATGTCTCTCAATATTTCTGTTTGGGGTTTCTTAACTGACCAAGTAATATCATTTCTAATTCAAAATTAAATGTAACCTTCTGGAGTTTATCTTTGAAAGAAAAAAGTTCAGCAAAACCTGGAAGAAAACATCTGCTTTCTATATATTTTAATTCCTTTCCAAAGACAAATTTGTCCATTTACATTTTTTATTTATGAATAGTAAAATTTTGATTGCTCATAACTATGCTTATACTCTTCTTTGTATTTCTATAAAATTAATAGCTTACTTTCACTTAGCTTCTTGAAAGTATTTGTTATGTTCATTCTTATAAGTTGTGAAATGCATATATATATACATAGTTGCTCCTCAGCCTATGATGGTTTGATGATTTTTTAACTTTACAATGGTGAGAAAATGATACACATACAGTAGAAATCATATTTGGAGTACACATATAGCCATTCTGATTTTCGCTTCCAGCACAGTATTCAATAAATTACATGAGATATTCAATAACATTGTAAAATAATGTGCCAGATGACTTCACACAACTGTAGGCTAATGTAAGTGTTCTGAGCATATTTAAGATGGGCTAGGTTAAGTTATGACGTTCAATAGGTAAAATGTATTAACTGCATTTTTGACTTTATGTTAACATACAACTTGATTTTCTGACTTGATGAGTTTATAGGGACATAACCTCATCATTAGTGGAGGAACATTTCTATTATATATGTTTTCTCACTTTCTTCATATAGCTAATATTGACTAGGTTTATTTTGATAATTTTAAACATAAATACATTTCATTTATTTCTTAACAATTAAGGATGTTTACATATGAAAATTAGTAATTTAATAATGTATGAATAATTTAGAATTTGAAAAGTTTATATCTAACTTGTATTTCATGCTTGTTGTTATTTACCTAATAAAGCAGTGACATTAGCAGTGGTGTACTCATTCCTCTCACTTTTGGATATTTCAATCAGATAGCTATTTTCCTTCTTGAGCTAAATTCCTCTGCTCTGATAAACTTGATTGTGAAAATGTATAAGATAACTTATTAATTAGTGTCAATCCATCTGTCAATCAATCATCTATTCAGTGCTTCACTTTATAAACATACTAAATGTTTACTGAGATTTGAGCTTGTTTCCTTTTCTAATCAGCTCTATTGAAATCTGATAGCGTCTGACACTGTGTAACACTCGACCTGTAAACTGAGATTTCAGCTCAATTGTAAACTAGCCTATGACTTCCACAGTTTTAGAGGCTGTTGTGCAGCCTATGGCGGTGAGGAGTATCATCCTTAAAATCAATAAGTTGACTTCTTGTTACTTTTAATATTTGTACAGCCACATATTGAATATTTGTTCTATTGGGGCTCAGGGAAAACATTACAAAAATGAAACTGACATCTGGCCTGAAACCTAATATTAGGATAGTTTGAGTTTTCCTCCACCAAAACTATATCTAATAACATGGTAGATTTTTTTTGTCTATTCTTTAATGGCTCTCAAAATTTGCACATTTGTTTAATGTATAGACTCTTGTCTCAGAGTCATATCAATCTGTACACCCACCATCAGCTATGAGTACCAGGTAACATAAACTTGTGTTGAATATCAATGGATTTTTTTCAACACATTAAAGATATCATTCTGACTTCCTACGTTGTATTTGATATGCATCTGATATGTTCCTTTGTTACTTGAGGTTACATTTTAAACTGTTTTCCCTAGCTGCTGCTGGAGAAAAGATTTTCTCTTTGTATTGTGTTCCTCAATTTTAAGTGGAAACTTTGCTAACACTTTATTTTTGCCTTAAGATTGTGTTTTCCCCTGTGGTTAATTCATTTTGTCTTTTGTAAAACTTTTTAGCTATGTTTTTACCAATTTCTTACATATCTTCTCTTTCTGCTTTCTCCCTGTGTGTGGATGCTCACTCAAAATGTATTGAGCTTTGTCTTCTTCATGTTAACATTTATTTCACATCTTCTGCAAATTCAGATATCTTATATTTTATTCTAAAATTTGAACTATTTTGTAGTAATTTAATTCTGTATTCAGTAATAACAAATATGCTTTTATATTCATTCAATTACTTTTTTATTTATATTTTTCTTTTGTAATTAAGAAAATTTATTTTTTCACAAGTTAACTAATCATGATCCATTTTTTAATTGAAGAAATTTTAAAGTTTTCTTTTTATTTATTTATTCAAATTAAACATAGATATTTTATATTCTTTTTTGGAGTTTTTAAATTTCCTTATCTATTGTCTGTTACTTCATGTCTTTTTTTTTTGGTTCTCATCCTGAGTGAGCTGCTTCCTTATGTTTTTATTACCTTTATTGATTATTATAAAAATATTTGGAGAATTTTATGAGCCCTGGAAGGAAGGTGGATTCCACCAGAGATGATTTGCATTTGCTTCTAACAGATACTAGAGGCTCTGCCAGTCCAGAAACATTTCAACTACAAATTACAGTATGATCATCTTCAACATAAAAGTTGGCTGAGAAAATTACATTATCTTGACTTAGTGGTTGCACCTTTTAGCGATCTTTTCCCTCACTTGCCTTCCCTGCTCAATGTCAAGCAGTTGTTCTTGCTCCAGTGTGGAATTAAAAGGCCCAGGTTTCCCAGTAGCTCACTCTTCCATGTAAGCTTTGTTTCCCCAGCATTTTTAGACACCCTTTTTTGAGTGAACTGTTAGTTTCTCACTGTCTATTGTATACCAAGAGGTCATGAAATACTAAGCATGATTTCACCAAGATAAACAAACATTCTCAAGCAAAAGCAACTTACCACTAATTTTATCAACTTTTTTTGTATCTTAGTTATATTTTGTTCATAATATTTTTAAAGTTTTTAGAAATATGTTTCATCATGTTTTCCGTGCATTTTCATATGCTGATATATACCTACTATGATATATTGCAAGACATGGAACACATGTATATTTTATCATTACTGTTTTTTTTTCAGCGAATTTATTTGACCGATACTTTATAAAACATGTGGCTCTTAATCTTATTGTACATGGCTGTGTTACTTAGGTTTATCTAACTTTTTCAAATATGCACACCAAGCTAATACTTCTACAGCAGTGATTTGACTATTATAGCACATACAAAGTTGTTTTAAGATAAAAACTCTGCTTTATCTGTCTCAAAATAATGGCTGTGTTTAACTTCCAAGAATAAATAATCAATGTATCCAAGAATAGCTATCCTGTGATCTGCTTGTCTGGTTTTCAGTGTTTCTCTTTTGCATTAATTTGTGTGTGTGTGTGTTTGTGTGTATGTGTGTGTGTGTGTGTGTGTGTTCATTTGTTGTTTGTTTATAAATGTTTCCCTTAGTTTTCACAGTACTATATTTTAAAAGTGTCCATCTCTTCATCATGTACTCAACTGGAGCATTATTTTAAATTTTATGAGAAGGCGGCAGGATTTTGCAGAAGGCACAAGTATATCACATGATTTTGTAAACCTATTGGCAAGGGCTGGAGGCAAGTATAGTTTAACAAGTGATTTTGAGAAAAACAAATGATGGCATTGCAAGAGTAAAAAATAATTTACAAGTCATGAAGATTTACTGCACACAACTTGGAGTAAACTTAAATCAAACTTTAACACATTAAAATAATTTCCCAAATTATAAGCACTTTGTTGGAAGAAAGTTAAAATTTCCTGAAATGATATGAAAGTTGTTTGTTTTAATGTGCTTAATTTGAAAAAATGAATGCCCTAACAAATTTACCAAATGTGTAGATATTAAATCCAAAAAATAAGGGAAAATGGTTTATTCAGAGTGCTATTGTATTTACTAAAACTTCGTCTCACGTTTTGCTCTTTTATTTTTGGGAGGGCATGTAATTTCTTTTTCTGCATCTGGTTATCCTACACAAATAAGAAAGCTAAAATCAAAATCAAAATACTTTAATAAATATATGAAGTATCCCCTTTTTGTTTCACATTTAAGCCAGGGCAGACCTAAATGATATATCTTTGCTTATGGTAAAGAAAGAGTAGCAGCTATAACTTAATTAGCTTGCCCTTCTAACTAGCAGTCTGAAGTAGGGCACCACTAATTAATGTAGTATTCTTCCAGAGGGCTAAGTAGAATTGTTCTAACATATTTAAATTTAACTGGAAAGGATATGCCATGAACTCTAGAATTTTGAGAGGCTCAAATTTTCAAAGTTAGCATCTTTTCTGAACATTCTAAATATATGTAAATGCAGATTTCCTAGTTTACATAATACTCTATTTCCTTAATAACTCAATTGTCTTCTTCAATGAATGAAATACATTCTCATTTACTGTAACTATTATACTATTTGCAACATTTTAATATATGTAATTATATTAAAATTGGTTAGTATAGACTAAAATATGTTGTATTAACATATATAAATCTGTTAAGTAAACAAATTATAGTTCATCAAGGTAAATCCTAACTAAAATTATATCTTAAAATGAATAGAGAAAATGCTAAAATATATTCTAGGTATTATTTCTTAAGAAGAAACTTTATTTCTCTATATTCTATATTTAAACATCTAACAGAAAAAGAAATAATTTAAGATCTATTAAACCATATACTCATTAGTGCCTGAAATCACAATGCCTGAAATCTCATCACAATGTGATGTATATAATAAGTACAAAATGAACTTTACATGTTCATAAGCCATATCTAGTCTTAATCAGACATCTAATATTATGCAAGACTATTAAACAAATTCCTGGCGCACAGAAACAATTTCATTAATGTCTGTTGAATGAATAAATATGAATAATAAATGTTATTTATAGCAGGCTTACCGGGAATGTGTGTGTGTGTGTATGTATACACACATATTCATACATAACACATTTTGTCATTCATAGATTATATGAACATCTATCTATTGGCTAATTTTAATATTTGTTATTGAAACACAATATTTGTACATATTTATGGAGTACATGTGATATTATGATACATGTATATAATGTGTAATGATCAAATCAAAATGAAATCGTTTGGAACATTTATTGTTTCTTTGTGTTGGGAACATTACAAATTTTCTTTACTAGCCATATTGAAATGTACAAAACACTGTTGTTATATATAGTCATGATACTATACTATCAAACACTAGAACTTATAATAATTACATGAAGAGGAATGAAATATCTTTTGTCTAATGCTACATTTTGTTGTTTTTATTAATGAATTTGCTCCTGATATTAAATTAAAGTTTATAGTTAAAACAATTATGATTATATGTGAATAAGTAACATTTCTTACAAAATTCAGATAATTTTATTTCATTGCTCTTCTTAACCCATCAAAGATGTCTGGCAAAGCATTATAAAAAATCCATTACTAAGCTCTCAAAAACCCAGATCAACATTTGGGAATGTGTATATTATATCTTCCATTTTTAGGACAGTGCACAGAGTCCATGTTGTCCAGATTTTAACAAAGAATAATTGAAAAACTAAAAGAAAGTTCTGAAAAGTGAGCAGGTTTTTATTAAATGTCAGCATAATTTTAAAGTTCTAGCTTTATTATGTTGATAAAAATATTTATATTTCTCTACTTATTCAAGAACATCATTAATAATAAGTTTCTCAGACTGATGAGGATGGGAATAAGCTTTTAATGAGTAAGGAGTACAGACTTTGTAAAACTATTCTGTGTGGAGTTGCAGTAAACTGAATAACATAAACCACATTTTCCCACAATCAAAATGTAATCATATATTGGTTATATGACCTATTATATATCCATTACAGTATTATTTTTAAAAGTATTGGATGAATTTTATGTATAATACAAGTATTTGCATGCTTTTTGAAATACAAGTCCTTGCATACCTTTTGAAATATCTGAATTTATCAAACAATAAAATGCCCACTCTCATAACTGAATAATAATTTAAGGTGATATAATAAAATACTTTATGGTTGTTTTATTTATTTTTTCCCAAATGTCCAATATTTGATTGAAAAAGATTGATTTTATAGACCAAAAATAATATTAGAACTCACTCTTCAGTGATATGAAGAATATAAACACAAGAAAGTATGGAGGTAATTTGGGGAGACAAGAATTCTGGAAGTAAATAAGTGGAGAGTTCAGTGAAGAGGCTGTTTACATAGTGGTGATCTGGATTAAGGCAAACGAAAAAGGGATAACTCCCTAGGACGAATCTCCCAGTAGGGAGTTACGACTACCCCTAGACCTGAAGAGAACCGTACCAGAACCCGAAGTGACTTGTAGTTATTCTAGCCAGCAGATGAGGTGTCTGTTTATTAGAAAAACACAACCGCTGTATCAGGAGAGATACATTCAGTTTGTGTAGGACAATGGCTGATTCCTATTGAAGACTACGTTGCCTCATCATCGTCTTCTGCTGGTATTTCTTTGTGGTGGAGCCCAGTTGAAAACCAGAGATCAAATTAGGCACTTTAAATAATCCATAAAGGTCTTGGAGCATAGCGCACTGTGGGGAAGGTTAGAATTTGGGGACGATGGAGAATATTCTGACACAACCTGGCACCACCTGATTACTTTTAACGTATTTACATTCTGTTCACCTTCAAATGTGAAAATCAAACATAAGTAGATATCAGTTGTTATGGTATGAACCTTATTGCTTCATATAGAATACAGATTTACTTTTGAACATACTTAGTTTGTCTTTATAGCATCTGGGCTTGGACTGTCTACTCTGATTTCCATAATCCTTCAAGAAATTCAATTGGCAAGTCTTTTTGAAAAAAACAAAAGTTGTTCTTTCTGGTTCTATGTCCCCTATTGAATAGATAAATTGTTTATATTGGTACATTCTAGATACTAAAAACAAGAAAATAGAAACCATAGATGCCAAATAATTTTTTTCTTCTTTGCTAGGTGAAATAATAAAGTATGACAATGTGTTGATATGTAACAAGTTCTAGGGTTTATAAAACATTTCACACAACTGATTGAAAAATGTTAATTCAGAAAAATATTGGTTGAATTTAGCAAAATAATTCATATTATTGATGGCTTTTGAAAAAAATTAATAAATAAAAAAAGAAAAAGTCATTACATCACAGAGGCATCTACGTGGCAAAGCAAATAATTCAAAGAATGGTTGCTAGTACAAGAAGATCCACATCACCAGCATTTTGGGAGGCCAAGGGGGGCAGATCACTTGAGGTCAGGAGTTCGAGACCAGCATGGCCAACATGATGAAACCAAGTCTCTACTAAAAATGCTTCAAAAGAAAGCAAGGGTAAAATTTTCAGTAATGTCAGGATGATGATAAACTTGGTAGAACAAAAGCATGTTTTGATAGAATAGGTTATGTAAGGTGTTTCTAAAGTGTTACTATTCTTGACACATATATGTTTTACAGCCTCTTAAATGTAATCAAGGTATTGCTCAAAATAAAAATGAGATTAAAAGGTGATAAAATGTGAGACAAAATGTTATTGTCAAATAGCTAGAAGATGAGGATTTATTTTGTATTGCTCCAGATGGCAAGTATAACCACTGGGTGAAATTTAGAAGGAATCAATGTTTTCTTTTAGAAGTAGGGATTTTATGACAATCAAAGTCTCTGTCTGCTGGGAGCATTTCACAGCAACTGCACCATATCACTTTTCTTTAAAAGCTCCAGTTTGCAAACACATCCACACATCCCAGAGCGTCTGGCCTGGACTACTGAAGAAACCTACCTGGTCTTGCTGCCACTATTCTTGCACATCTGATAGTCTTTTCTCCATTCAGCTCTTTAAGGAATTTTTTTTTACATTAGGCCCTATATCCACTGATAACTGAATTAATGTTACTTTTGCAAACATAACTTTTAAATTTCTTACTATTGCCTAAAAAATTCACAAATAATTACTCTCTCCAGAGGGAGAAGAAAAGATAGATAAAAAAGGAAAAAGAGGACAAGAAGATAAAAAATTGAATGGGTAGGGAGAGTTGGAGAGAAAAGAGGACTCACAAGAAGATTTGTACCTTAATGAAATTTTAAGATATTATATTATGAGCATTATGTTTATAAGCAGAGAAATTGTATTGGTTTTTATTTTTACTTATTCCTGATTCCTAAGATCTTCAGGCCTTTTCAACGAACATGATTTCTATAGATTATGGTGCTGGATACCAAGGTTTGAATTTGAAACTAGTGGGAACATTTTTTTTTATGGCAGGCCTGAATATCCTTGGCCTGGTCTGTTCCCATTTGGCTTCTGCAGACCAAGTCTGCACAATGGAGGCATTCTAAGTACCTATTTCTAACTCTATTTCTAATACTATATCCAGCCCACCTCATTCTTCTGTTTTTATCATCAATAATTTTTTACTTGACTTTTATTTTTATGTCTTTAATGATGTAATTATATCTGTACAAATTATTGAAAATTCACCAAAAGTCTTGTTTGGATGTAGCTTGGTATTCATTAGTGTTCGTATTTTCAAATAACTTGATAAATGAAGGGCACAGCAAGAAGAGTGACAGTTGAAAATAAGGATGTAAAAGCATATGGGGTATTTTCCTTGAGAATTGGGGCTATATTTGTATAAACACACTATGGACACCTATAAGAGTTAATTGAGTTTTGCTACACAGAACATCTCAGGGAAGCTGAATCAACATTTTCAGAGCTCTGTGGGTACATTAATTGAAATTTTCACAGATTTTATTAATGGACCAATAACGCAAAATAACCTGATGGATTTTTTTTTCCCAATGTCTAAGTCATTTCTATGGAAATATGTAAGCTCCTTTAAGGTGGGAACCAATTCTAATTCATCCTATCTGCTCTAAAATCTAGCACATTCATCTAGAATCATTTAATTTAGTATTCTAAGAATTATCATTATTAGCAAGAATGCAAATAAATCAGGTTAACTAATCTCTACAATGTGCCAAACATATGATTTGCATGCTTTAATTAATTTAACATTCATAGCAACCTTATTAAGTAGGTACTGTTAGTAATCCAATTATACAAAGTATGTTATGTAACATGCTTAAGTCACATAGTTAAAAAAGTCAGTAAATTGCGTGCTTGCACATTAAATTGTAAAAAGAAAAAAAGAGAACTCTTTGTAATGTGAATTTCCAAAAGAGAGTCAGAAGCATTTTTGAACAATACTGAGTTGACTGAGCAAAAAATGGGAAAGGATGAGCTATCATTATCCCTTCATTAAACTAGGTCTATGGGACCTTGGCCAAAGTCAGCATAATGAGGTAGTAATAAAGAAAAGTTATTCTGACCTTTTTCTTTGTTATACTTTGTTCTGAAAGTTTGATATTATCCTTTCTGTAGGAGCATGTTTATAATTGAATAGTTTTTTTTTTTCAAAACTAATGAAAGTAATTCTTTTTTGCTGTATTTGTATGATGAACTATAATTTTATTTATCTTAAATGCTCCATCAGGTATATTGATTTCCTCAGTATATAAGAGAACACAGAAACTAATGAGATTTCCAAAGAAATATGACAATGTTAGAAATGAGATGGCAATTAATGCTCAGCCAGAAAATGTTTATCATCTTGAAAATATTAGAAACTATGATGCATTTTTGGAAAAAGTCAATGTTGAAAAATAAAATATTAGTTTGACATCACTTCATATGTAAGTTATCAAAAACAATTTGTATAATTACTGAATTACATATTAAATATTGGAAAATACTATTTAGCAATAACTAGCAAAAAATCAAAAACAGAGATTTTTGTTGGTGTTTTGTTTCATTTTGTTTTGTTTTCTTCAAATTAACTTCTCCAACTTTTGGGTCATGTCTTTTTTCTTATGTAACACAGAAAAAAAAGTCTATTCTTAGGTATTACAACAATTATGCATTTGTATTCATCTTATCACAAACAACTACTTAATTAAACTTACCTTAGTTACTTTTGTTTAGGAGCTCTAACCTAGCGAATTGGAAAATATACAGGACCTGTTAATAGTTACTGAGTTTCTAAGCCTTATTTCACATTAATCTTTTGGCCTTGGGCAAGTTATTTACTATATTTGGGTGTCACTTCCTTCACATATAAAATTCAGGAATAAGATTTCAAACTTTGAATAAAATACTTTGTTATCAATCACACAAATTATCAGGAATCCATATTTTTTGGAAATGTGTTAATCACTCACACACAGCATACACATACTCCCACAAATAGATCATAGTTGGTTTCATAATGCTTTGAGAGTAGACCTCTCTGGTATTGGTGACAGAGGCCTTAATAAGTCTCTGTGGCTTCATTATGTTCTCAATTAATGTCAATCACGTCATATCATTGGTCTTAGAGTGCAGATCCATTTGTTAGTTGTTTTATCAGGCCAGCTTCATTACAGGGCTTAGTTTTTTTCCAATACCAGATAAGCATTCAATTAACTAATATTTGTTCTTACTCTTTAGCTAAATATTGATATTAATTTGGATTGCTTCAAGTTAAATTTTCGTTATTATGCTTTGACCCTTATGTTTGAAGTAAGGCCTTTTCAGTTTCACAACTGCAATATAAATTACCCTTAAGGAGTTACTTTGTAGAATTTTACTTAATTTTAGGAATGATTTGGGGCAGACTTTAACATGCACAGGTATCTATTAGTAGTTTGGTTGCACAGACATAATTGTATCCTACTTATTTACTTGTTTATTCAAATATCCATGTATACACGCATTCTTATGTGTAGTTTGATAGTTGACATATTTCATATTTTTTATAACATCTTGGTAATTGAAGTTTCATACAATTTTGAATCTATTCTATAGTTCCTCACCTCATTTTAGTAGTTTCTGTGAATTTAAATTTCAGAACTATAAAAGCAAGAAACATGTTGCATAAAAGTATAACAAATGAGATTCTGATGTATCTCTGAAAATGAAATGAAAATTAACAAAATTAACTTGAAGGATAAATGTCATCATGCTTTCCAATGTGCTATATTGTTTTTTAAATATGTGAATGCAAATTATGTGTAAGGTTGGTCTTCCTGCTTTCATCACTGCTCCATTTTAGTCTCTTCTCAACACTGCATTCTGAGTGATTTTACTAAAACCTTAATCTAGCTCATGTTCTCTTCTGTTTCAAATCCTCCAGTCACCTCCCATGTCATTTCTTTTTGCAAAGGTCTTCAAATGATTCAACATTTGTCTTCTTACTCCACTTTGAACCTAGTTTCTATTTTGTTAAAAAAAATTTTAAAAAATGCCTAGCTAGTTTCTGATATAAAGCATTTTTTAAAATTTAATTTTTTTTTTATTTTTGTCTGAGTACACAGTAGGTATACATATTTATGGGGTACATGAGATGCTTTGATACAGACATGCAATGTCAAATAAGCACATCTTGGAAAATGGGGTATCCACCCCCTCAAGCATTTATTCTTTGAATTACAAACAACCCAAATACACTATATAAGTTATTTCAAAATATACAAGTAAGTTATTATTGACTATAGCCACCCTGTCTGGCAATTAAATAGTAGGTATTACTCATTCTATTTTATTTGTACTTAATAATCATCCTTATCTCCCCGGCCCCCAACCTTGCCCACACTCCCCACTACGCTTCCCAGCCTCTGGTAACCATCCTTTTACTTTCTATCTCCAAGAGTTTAATTTTTTTTTTTTAATTTTTAGATCCCACAAATAAGTGAGAACGTGTGATGTTTGTCTTTCTGTTCCTGGTCTGTTTCACTTAACATAATGATCTCCAGTTCCATCCATGTTGTTGTAAATGACTGATTCTCATTCTTTTTTATGGATGAATAGTACTCTATTGTGTATATGTACTACGTTTTCTTTATCCATTCATCTGTTGATGGACACTTAGGTTGCTTTCAAATCTTAGATATTGTAAATAGTGCTGCCACAAATGTAGGAATGCAGGTATCTCTTTGATATATATATTTTTTTCTTTTGGGTGTATACCCAGGAGTGGGATTGCTGGATCATATGGTAGTTCAATTTTTAGTTTTTTTGAGGAACCTCCAAACTGCTCTCCATAGTGGTTGTAATAATTTACATTCCCATCAACCATCTACAAGGGCTCCATTTTTCCATATCATCACCAGTATTTGTTATAACCTGACTTTTTCATAAAAGCTGTTTAACTGGGGTGAGATGATATCTCATCATAGTTTTGATTTGCATTTCTCTGATGATCAATGATGTTGAGAATCTTTTCATAGGCCCATTTGCCATTTGCTTGTCCTCTTTTGAGAAATGTCTATTCAAATTTTTTGCCCATTTTTTTATTGGATTATTAGATATTTTTCCTATAGAGTTGTTTGAGCACCTTATACAGTCTTGTTATTAATTCCTTCTTAGATGGGTAGTTTGCAAATATTTTTTCCATTCTGTGGGTTGTCACTTCACTTTGTTGATTGTATCCTTTGCTGTGCAGAAGGTTTTTAACTTGATGTGATCTCATTTCTCTATTTTTGCTTTGTTTGCCTGCGCTTGTGGGGTATTGCTCAAGGAATTTTTGCCCAGACCAATATCCTAGAGATTTTCCCCAATGTTTCCTTGTAGTAGTTTCATAGTTTTAGATCTTAGTCTTTAATCCATTTTGATTTGTTTTTTCATATGACGAGAAATAGGGGTCTAGTTTTATTCCTCTGCATATAAATATCTGATTTTCCCAGCACCATTTATTGAAGAGATTGTGTTTTTCCAGTGTATGTTCTTGGCACCTTTGTCGAAAATGAGTTCACAGTAGTTGTATGGATTTGTTCCTGAATTCCCTATTCTGTCCCACTGGTCTATGTGTCTGTTTTTATGCCAGCAGCATGCTGTTTGGTTACTATAGCTTTCTAGTATAATTTGAAGTCAGGTAATGTGATTCCTCCAGTTTTGTTCCTTTTTTTAGGACACCCTTGGCTATTCTGAGTTTTTTGTAGTTCTATATAAATTTTACAATGTTTTTATCCATTTCTATGAGGAATGGTATTTTGATAGGGATTGCATTGAATCTGTAGATTGATTTGGGTAGTATAGACATTTTAACATTACTGATTCTTCTAATCCATAAACATAAAATGTTTTTTCATTTTTGGTGTCCTCTTCAATTTCTCTCATCAGTATTTTATACTTTCCATTGTAGAGATCTTTCACTTATTTGTTAAGTTAATTCCTAGGTATTCAATTTTATGTGTGGCTATTTTAAATGGGATCACTTTTTAATTTCTTTTTCACATTGTTCACTGTTGGCATATAAAAATGCTACTGATTTTTGTCTGTCAATTTTGTATCATGAATTAACTGGAGTCATCAGTTTTAATAGTTTTCTTGTGGAGCCTTTAGGTTTTCACAAATATTAAAATATTATGATCTGCAAACAAGGATAATTTGACTTCTTCCTTTACAATTTGGACGCCCTTTATATCTTTCTCTTGTCTGATTGCTCTAGCTATGACTCATAGTACTATGCTGAATAACAGTGATGTCAGTGGGCATCCTTTTCATGTTCCATATCTTATTGGAAAGGCTGGCATTTGTTCTTTCCTTTGTCTGGAATACTCTTTCCTTCAATTTGCTCATGGTTGACACCTTCATTTAATTCTACTGTTTGCTTCATTTTCAGCTTCTCAGTGAACAGTTTCTACACTCTAGATAACATCCCACTGACAGTGTAACACTTCCTATAGCCTTTCTTACCTTATTATTTTATCATAGCAATTACTCCCTCCTAAGGTACTACATACAAGATTTTGTGGATATGTGTTGTAGTTTTTTTTTTTCCACTTATTGCCTTAGATTCCTAATTATTGTATCTCATGTGAGATATGAAAAATACAAAGCAAAAATTAAACCATCTTACTTGTCACCAATGTAGAAAAGGCAAAACTTTACCTCTACCCTCTTAGGGTCCCCAGCTGTTCCTGAAAATTAAATGGATGTGAGAGAGATTAACAAATTTAACTTGTATATGAAATGGGGGCTCTTATGAAAAAATGAATACTCAAAGAAATGGAAAACCTCCAATTTTTTTGTACTAAATTGAATAAGACAGACAATTGTGGAAAAGTAACAAATTATGTGGAGAGGTTAAAGGAAGATAATAATTATTTTAACAAGGTCTGCGTGTACAGAATTATCTCACTATGACTCTCCAAAGAATATTTATTTTCTTTTGATACACCAAGGGCATCATTCACAGGGGAGTTTTTATCTCCTTTTTTCAGAATGAAAGAGAGATTTAAATGCCCCTCTTGCATCTGCTGTTTTTCAAGTGTCTAGCTTAAAACAATCTTTATTTTAGTATAAGGACTCCATTTTAGTGCAGCATATTTCGGAGCCATATTCTGCCATCTTTCACTAGTTATGGAAAACCAAAATATGTGAAAATATATTTGCATTCTTTATCAAATACTTATATAGCACAGTCTTTTATATGGCACATATTTTTCTCTTTGAACACTCATTCATTCATTCATTCATTCATTGTGTTTATGTGTGCCAACTTGACAAAGTTAGAACTCTTTTCCTAAATCTTTTCTCAATTGGAGAAGATATTAGTATTTCGTGAAACAAAGCAATCGTGTAAATACTTTTGTATGTTCACAGGGAAATTTTGCTTTACTATTTTTTTTACATTGAAAGTAAGTTTTTATTTAATAATTTAGACAAGATGCAAATTAGTATTTACTTAAGCAAGAGTTTACTTAACCTGCCTTTCATATTAAAAATGGTTGCCAAAGTCAATCTTTTAATCTTCAAATTTTAAAATTTTACATACTCTGGTGAAAAGAAAATCAATACATTAAAATTTTTTTCTTTCAACAATGTTGTTTTTGGAGTATTTGTAATTGTTTTACACAATTTCATGTTCTTTAAAGAAATAGGTTAGGTGAGACATACATTTTAAATTAGTAAGTCAAATTAGAATCTCTTGATTATACTATTTTCTTTCTACCATAAGTTGCAGCCACTTACAATTAAAATATATGTTTTTTCAATACATTACAAAATTAAAGAAAATAGAAAGCACCTATTTCTCAGGCAACTAAATATCCTATTTACTTTAACTGTAATTTTCTAAAATACAAAACTTCTCATACTGGGAATCACAGTTGCATAGATATCTGCAAAAATTTAATTTTGTATTTTAATTTTAGTATTTTTTAAAAATAGAAATTATAATTATTTTAAAAGAGAAATGTAATTATTGAATAAACTATTGAGTCATTCTCTCTTTAAGACAAATTATTATTGGGAATTTTTCTAGTAACCTTGAGATCTTTAGTAGAACATTTAAGTCAATTAAAAATACTCGTCTGAAAGTATTTATATTTTTCATAAAAGTAAGGAAGGCTATATTCATTTTTTATGTAAATAATTATTCAGCTCAGCGTTTAGATTCTGATCATGGCAAGATATTGTGAAAAGGCATGGATAATTTTGTATGACAAAATTGGCTTTATACCACTCCTTTTGAACAGCGAAACTTTCAAATTGTGTTAAAGGGCTGATTATTCCTTGGATATTCTGAATGGTTCTAAACAATGAAGGGAAAAACACATATTTTGATTTCAGTTACCCCTCTAACTAAATATGACTACAGCTCTGTTTTTCATAGCTATATTGAAACTGTCCCTATTAACTTTATAAAATGAATCAGAGAAGAAGGGAGGGGAAAAATGAAAATGAAGCAAGATTGCAGCACATTTAGCACTAATGATTAGGTCAGCTTGCTCTCTGACCTGCTTCCTCATAGTTTTTACTGCTTATCATCCCAGAATCATGTAGATCCTGTCAAAATATTATAGTTCCCCTTAAGTTCTCTATAGATAACGACTTAATCATTGTGAAATCTTGTTTTCCTTCTGAAGTATTCTTTCAGGTCCTGCATACCAGTAAAACTACTGATGCTAGCTGTTGCCTAGGACCCCATGAGGAGGTGACTCAACAAAGAAGGCAGTTTTCAGATCCTGATGATTTCATCCCCCTAACCCTGACCAATCAACAACCACAATTTTCTGGACCTACACCTTTCACAATTCTTTTACAAAATGCCGCCCATAACTTCTTTGGGAGACAGACTTGTGGGTCCTTTCCATCCCCTTACTTGGCTGTCATATGATCAATAAATGTTTTCTCTGCTGCGAACACTGTTGTCTCAGTGCATTTGTCTGTTACTTCACAGCAGGTATATAAATTTGTTAATCCTCTAACAATATCATTGTGCTGAATATAATTCAGTTTGATACTCAAGCAATTATTAAACAACATTTTAAAAGGCTTTCCTAAATATTTTCACAACTTACTTAAATTATCAAATGGCTAATAAAAATAGTCTATACAATTTTATCAACCAAAGAAACATGTGAACTAAAATTCCTCATTTTTAAAAGATAATAATAAATTATAACTTACAAATGGAACCTATTTTATTTGTGGTTCACATATATAATATATATACATATATGTAATATGTATGTGTATAAATGATTAAATTTACTTTCTTTACAGACAAATCATAATCTTCAAAACTCAGACACTTAAAAACATTTATTATTATATAATTATAATATTGATGACTTTCAATTAGTTGTAACATAAAAATAAATTATCATAAGTAGGTAGAACAACTAATATTTTTAGAGCTATATGAATACTCTGTATAATAACATAATGGTAGATATATGCCATTATATTTACTACATTTGTCCAAACCCACAATGTACAACACTAAGAGCAACCCTAATGTAAACTATGGCTGTAATATATAGATGTTAATGAACCTAATGTAAAATATGGTTTAATAATTATAACAAATATACCACTTGTGCAGAATGTTGATAATGGGGAGGCTACACATGTGTGGGGGAAGAGAGTATATGGAAAATCTTTGTACCTTCTGCTCAATTGTTCAGTTTTGCTGTGAACCTAAACTGCTCTAAAAAATAAAGTTTATAAAGGAAAAGAAAAAATTACTGTTACAGAATTATAATGTTGACAAGTTCCAATCAGCTTTAACATAATAAAAAATTAGCATGTTGGAGAGCAATATTCTGCTATCATTAAATCGTAATTAAATTATAATTATAAATTATAATCGAAGTAATTAAATGAGGTCAATTTTAATTTTTCACTACTTTGTTTCTAGTTATTTCTCCTTGTAACTGAATTGTTATCTCAATTGCTTTTAATTTCCCATCAAGTGAAAAATAAAGAAATGAATTAAACACATTATTTGGTGTGATGAAGCATACTTTTCTTGAAGAAGTGGCAAAACAAAAGTTTTGAGCTTGATTGAATACCATATTTTCCACTATAATCTTGATTTGCATTTAAAAAATAAACATTCGAATATGTTGTTAATAAGAATAATCAAGATTTTCCAAAAATATTGATAATCTTAAAAAATAAACACACCACCCTACATTCATATACGTATCCCTTTTCTTTGTGTGTGTGTTCATGGATTATTGTCACAACTGACAGTTTGCTTTACATACAATTAAAAGCTAGAGAACATGATTTTAAGGAGTTAACATTAAGTGAAGAGGTAGCAAAATCTTTTCCATTGTACTCTGGGTGATTTCATTATAAGGTGCTATATGAAAATATAGAAAGTGGGGCACAGAATCCAGACTTCATTGAATATTTAATAAGTGGAGGAAACCTGGAGAAGTGAATGCCATCTTAAGTGGAAGAGATAAATTATCTACTTACAAGACACCACTCTCTAAAGGACTGGTAAGAGATACGTTCCAAGAGCTAAGAAAGCTAAAATCATGAACTGTAAGTATAGTTATAAAAAAGTATAAAATGCTAAAGTCAACTTTAATAGTAAAAATAGTGTAATAGGTACAAGAGGGAAATACACTTGCATTTTAGGGAGTTGAAAAATTGGAAGGGGTTTTACTGGAAAATAAATGGAAGCTAATGATATTAGACCATCTGAGGACACCTGCTTTTTCCAAACCATGTACTCACTTCCACAGGATTGCTTAACTCCTCACTCCACACTTTTTATACTCACTATGATGTAAATGATGAGAAAAAACAGAAAGCATACATCAATATTATCTGTCTACTCTTGTTTAAACCTAATCATTCAGTCTAAACATGAAGTCCATTTGTACCTGGTTTATAATGGCCTAGTGCCGGGACATTCAATGATCCATTCTTAGTTGCAACACAGATGAGTCCTACGCTCATGCAGGTCTCATTCTAAAAAAACTTTATTTTTTATTTAATTTTCAGATTAGACTTCATCAGTTTGTTTCCCATTCTTGCAGGGACCTTGGTGTATGTGAGTATAAACATTCATACAGTTAAAATAAACAATGATTGTGTACATAAAATATGTCAGGCCACATGGTAAATGAAAGGATGTAAATATTTCCTGTACACTAGCAGATTCTAGAACTGCTGCTGATCTCTAAATATCTCCCAAATGTACCAGCTCTTTTCAAATAAACTACCATACAAAGGCTACTTTTGGGTATAATACTAACAACGACTTTTGAAATTCAGACTATGTTACTCTTTCAAAGACACACCTTCACAGACATATTATTTATGTCCAAACAGATAGCAAGGACAACATTTCTTCCTTATTAAACTGGAGGTTCCTGCCTGTTCTCAGTCTGCTTCTCCTCTATTAATGGTCCAAAGCTATCACAAGAAAGTATAAAAATTGTGGTGTAAACTATGTTCTGACTGATTATGCATGCCCCTTTTATTGTAATTATAAATGAAGTTAAAATATTTTAAATTTAGAATTGTGTTAACCAAAAAAGAAATCTAGCTAGATAGCAACAAATGGCTTAAGTTCAAATAAGGTGATAGAAGACACAAAGACTGAAAACCAAAATATATTGTACACGTATTAGATAATGAATATTTATGTGTGAGGTCATAATACAGAAAGATAAGAAGGAAATAATCCATTTATTTAGTAACTTGATTATTAATCACATACCATGTACAATGTATTCATTTAGGGCCTGCAATATATCAATAAAAAAACAAAAAACAAAAATAAAGATCCTTGCCCATGTGGGGCATACCAAGCAAGAGAAGAGAAACATCAAACATTAAACCTAGGTAATAAACAAATTACATTGTATGTAAGAAGGCAATGAGTTTTATAGAAAAAATAAAACAACAACAGTAGACCAGGTATAGATGATCTGGAGTGTTAATTGTGTGTGTGTGATGGGGGTGGCATAGTTTGTTTTATTAAATTGTATGTTTGGGCTTTATTTAAAAAAAAGTTTTTAAAAAACTTATGAAGTAAGTAGAAGATGAGTATGGCTAGGAACAGTTTGATCCGAAACCTACAATGCAAGTATACTTGTTGTATTCAAGAAGGTTAATGCAACTAGAGCTGAAAGAACAAAAATGAAAGCAATAAATGACTCAGAACATCAGTGATAAATCATATGGGATTTTACAGACCATTGTAAAGACATAGAGAGGTATTGTAAGATGAAATTGGGAGATATTATAGGGTTTGGGCAGAGAAATAATATGATTTGACATATTTTAGAAAGCAATCTGTGACTGAGGATTGAAGCAGAGAGTAACATTTCAGACTCTTATAGGCAAGAGAGGTTAGAGGCAGTGAGATTTCTGAGAAAAGAACAAGTCAAGTTGTATAGCCTGAGCAAAGGAAGGAGAATAGGAGCCATCAACTAAGATAGGAAGCCTGCTTGAGAAAGATGTTGGGTGGAATTCATGGTTTTTGCAGAAAGACTTCGCCTTGGCTATTAGACATCCCTTGGAAGTATTAAGTAAGTACAAGAAGCTGAAGTTTAAAAGAGACATTTGAGTAGGAAATATAAACATAAGAGTCATGGTTATAGTTACATGTAGTCAGTATTATAGCCTTAGGACTGTATAAAGTGACTGAAGGAGTTGGTACAGTTGAAGTGGAAAAGAAGACAAGGACTGAGAATTAGAGCATTTCAACTTTTTGAGGATAGGGAGAAAATATGAATCATCAAAGGAGAAGATGAGAAAGCAGCAGGATAAGAAACAAACAAACAAACAAAAAACAAAAAAAGCCTCAAGAAAGAATAGTACACAGGAAACCAATTTAAGAAAGCACATCATGGAGAATAAAATGCTTACTGTGTCAAGAACCCTTGGTAAGTCATGTAGTCATTAAATACCTGTGTGCATTACCTGCTGGTTAATAATCTAATATTGGGTAAATATGTAGTTTGTCTCCAATGTTTACTCAGAGAAATTGCTAAAAAAATTTCTAAACATTCATTCATTAATGTATCAAATATGTACTGAGCACATTTGGTGTTCCCAGGTAAGTTCTAGACACAGGGAACAAAGCCCAAATAGTGAGCAATAAAATCTACATTCTTGCTTACAAAAACTTACATAAACAAAAAAACAAGCAGATAAACATGTCGGAGTTGACAGGTTTTAAAATAAAAATCAACTAAAGTGATGAAAGACCTGCTACGTACCTTAGTCATTCATGAGTACTTCTCTGATAAGGTGTTATTTGTGCAGAGACTTGAACATGATGAAGAAATGACCCATGAGGATCTCTGCAAGATAATCGTCCAAGGAGAGAAAAAAGTAAACATAGAGCAGAGGGATAGGTGTAATGGGTTCAGTTACTACAGTGTCAGAAAGAAAATCAGTGTGGCAGAAGCCATATGGTTGAGGCAAAGTGATAGGAAAAACAGGAAGCTAGAGACCAGATAATGTATACCTTTTTTGACATGACAAAAACTAAGTAATTGGTTCTAAGGTGAGATGGTAATATTTGTATAATTTTAAATAGTGATGTGACATTACATGACTTAATGCATAATTAATTAGAGTACTCAGTATAATTAATGAACAAGGGAAAAGGGGGATTGCAGCTATTGGTTAATGGGATGTTATTTGAGGCACAACACTAAAGTCAGAATGGTACAAGGTTTAAAACAGAGTAAATTTAATATACCTATATTAACATTTCAAATCTCCCAACAACTGACTCTAATTTCAATGAGACTTTTAAGTTTCCCTCACATAAAAAGAGTTATCACATATTTTAAGTGAATTGAAATGGTAAAAATAAATTGCAATGTAAAGGGCACTGAAGGCTGTGTAATATTCCACTTCACTTATAAATCACGTTTTTTTCAAATTCTTTACTTTTAGAAATGTATTTTTTTATAATCACTATCAAAAGATAACCCTTTAATAAACAATCCTGTGCACAAATATTTGTTCTTTTACCTTATTTCAAAATATTACAATACAGTTTTTAGTACTGGAACAAAGGCTTCATTATTTATGAGAATTTTGAATGTATTTCAAAATTCTTCTACAGAGAGGTGTAAAGTATAATATACCCAATAGCATTAAATATGAAAGTCTGTATTTCCAAAGACATTTACAAGCATTGGCATGTTTTCTTCATGAGTATTCATGGAAGAAATTATCTCATAGTTTTGTTTTATATGCACTCACTAAGAATGAGATTGATAATTTATTATGTGGTAGTAAGCAATTTGTGTTTGTTATTTTATGTATTGCCTCTTCATGACATTTATATAATTTTATATTTCAGTGTTGTTTTTCTTTTATTTGAAAAAGTTATTTATACAGTGGTGGTATTAAAGTTTAAAAAAGAAATTTTGCATTTTCTTTTGAAGCAATAATTTTTGGCATGTTTATTTACCTACTTTTAATGGAATGTATTTATTCAAGTTTATCAGCATGTCCTTTTATATTAAACACATTTTCTCTATTATTGGAAACAAGGCAAGGATGTCCATCTTCAGCAATTTTAATAAATATTATTCTGAACAATACAAATAACATTTAATTGAAAGTCCAATTAGAAACAAAGAATAGAAACAGTCTTGACTTGCAGATGGCATAATTGTAGAAAATTTTAAGAATCAACCAACAAACTAAAAATAAAATTTTAGCAAGATCTGGGAGAATAATGTCAGCAAGATGATGGAATAGCAGGTGTCAGCCCTTGTCCCCCCGTACAAACATAGATTTAATAACAATACACAGACCAAAATACCTTTATGAGTGGCCTAGATTCCAATAATGAAGTTGTAATACCTTAGACGTAAATAAAACTGTGACCAATCACATTGAAATTGGTAAAATCAGCAATTTCACTTTACTGGTATCAGCACCTCCCCAAAGCCTGTACAGCTCAGTACTGACAGATATTGTTCTCTCCGGCAATTTCTCACTTTCTGGAATGAGAGAATAGAGCATGTATGCAAGTTCCAGCCTTTCAGTGTGCTCTAGGACCAGTTTCTGTCTTGGGTCACATGGCATATTGTTGCAACTGGCATAGTTCAAATTTCTGGGCAACGCTGAAAACAAAAATAGAGGTGGCCACCTACTATAACAGGCACAATTCTGTGAGATTGAGAAAAGGTGCACAACAGTGTGTTTTTTTTCCCCCAGGATGAAGGGAGAGGTTGAATGTGCAGTCTATGTTTTGGCTTTTCAGTGAACTGTCCTGGGGAAACTGGATGGACAGCTAAATGCAGCTAGAGTGGCTCTGTGATATGTAGAAGATACGCAACACCAACACTAACTCCAGTGTGAAGAAGAGAAGTGCAACGTGCATACTCATATGGTTTGGATCTGTGTCCCCACCAAATCTCATGTCCAATTTTAGTCCCCAGTGTTGGAGGTGGGTGGGAGGTGGTTGGATCTTGGGGGTGAATTTCTCATGAATAGTTCAGCACCATTCTGTTTATGCTATTCTTGTTAAAGTGATTAAGTTCTTATGAAATATGACTGCTTGAAAGTCTGTATCACCCTCCTTCCTTCCATCTCTTGTTTCTAGTCTGGATCCTTTCATGTAAGATGACTGCTCCCCTTTTGCCTTGCAACATGATTGTAAGTTTTCTGAGGCATCCCCAGAGGCTAATCAGATGCCAGGATTATGTTTCCTGTACAGCCTGAGAAACTGTGAGCCTATTAAATCTCTTGCTCTCTCTCCCTGTTTTTTGTAAATAACCTAGTCTCATGTATTTCTTTATAGCAGTGCAAGAATGGACTAACCCAGAAAATTGGTACCAAGGAGTGGAGTATTGCTATAGAGATACCTGAAAATATCAGATTGGCTTTGGAACTGGGTAACTGGCAGGGATTGAACATATTTGTGGGGCTCAGAAGAAGACAGGAAGATGAGGGTAAATTTGAAACTTCCTAGATACTTGTTGAATGGTTGTGACCCAAATGCTAATAGTGATGTGGATAGAGATGGCCAGGCTGATAAGGTCTCAAGTGGAGATGAGAAACTTATTAGGAACTGAAACAAAGGTCACTTTTGTTATGCCTTAGCAAAAAGCTTGGCTGCATTGTGCCCCTGTCCTAGGGATCTGTGGAACTTTAAACTTGAGAGTTATGTATTAAGGTATCTGGCAGAAATTTCTAAGCAGCAAAACATTCAAGATGTGGCACGGCTGCTTCTAACAACCTATGCCCATATGCATGAGCAAATAAATGATATAAAACTGAAATTCATATTTAAAGGGGAAGCAAAGTGTAACAGTTTGGACAATTTGCAGCCTGGTCATGTAGTAGAAAAGAAAAGCCCATTTTTTAGGGGAGGAATTGAAGTAGGCTGCAGAAATTTGCATAAGTCAAAAGAAGCCAAGTGTTAATAGCCAAGACAATGGGGAAAAGGCCTCAAAGGCATTTCAGAGACATTTGTGCCAGATTCTCCCTTCACAGGCCCAGACACCTGGGAAGGAAAGAATAGTTTTGTGGGCCAGGCACAGGGTCCCCCAGCTTGTGCAGCCTCAGAGCACTGCTCCCTTCATCATGGTCACTTGAGTTCCAGCCATGGCTCATAGGGGCCCAGGTACAGCTTGGGCTGCTGCATCAGAAGGCATAAGCCATAAGCTTTGGTGGCTTCCATGTGGTGTTAAGCCTACAGGTGCACAAAGTATAGGAGTTGAGGCTGGGGCATCTCCACCTAGATTTCAGAAGATGTATGGAAAAGCCTGGATGTCCAGGTAGAAGCTGAATGTAGAGGCAGAGCCCTCATGGGGAACCTCTACTAGGGCAGTGCAGAGGGGAAATGTAAGGTTGAAACTCTTACACAGATTCTACCCTGGGGAATTGCCTAGTGGAACTGTGAAAAGAGGGCCACTATCCTTTAGACCCAAGAATTGTAGATCCACTGGCAGCTTGCACCCTCAGCCAGAAAAACCACAGGCACTCAATGATAGCCTCTCAGAGCAGTGATGGGTGCTGAACCCTACAAAGTCACATGAGTGGAGCTGTCCAAAGCTTGGGGAGTCCACTCTTCACACCAATGTACACTGGATGTGGGATATGGAGTCAAAGGAGATTATGTTGGAGCTTTAAAATTTAATGACTTCCCTGCTGGTTTTTGGACTTGTGTGGAGGTTGTAGGCCCTTTCTTTAGGCTGATTTTTCCCCTTTGGAATGACAGTATTTACCCAATGCATATATCTTCATTGTATCTTGGGAGTAATAACTTGTTTTTGATTTTACAGGCTCATAGACTGAAGAGACTAGCCTTGTCTCACATGGTATTTTGGACTTTGGACATTTGAGTTAATGGTGGCATACATTAAAACTTTGGGCATCTGTAGGGAAGGTATGATTTATTTTGCAATGTGAGAATAACATAAGATTTGAGGTATGGGGCAGAATGACGTGGTTCGGATCTATGTCCCTACCAAATCTTATGTCAAATTGTAGTCACTAATGCTAGAGGTGGGAGCTGGTGGGAGGTGTTGGATCATGGGGCTAGATTTCTCATAAATAGTTTAGCACTATTCTCTTGGTTCTGTTCTCATGATACTGAGTGAGTTCTTAGATCTGGTTGTTTAAAAGTGCGTAGCACCTCCCCCACCTTTGCTCCTGGCTCCTGTCATGTAAGATGACTGCTTTCCTTTTGCCTTGCTCCATGATTGTAAGTTTCTGAGGCCTCCCTAGAAGCTGAGCTGATGCCAACCTCATGCTTCCTGTATAACCTGTGAAACCGTAAGCCAATTAAATGACTTTTCTTTATAAATTACCCAGTCTGAGGTATTCTTCACAGCAATGTGAGAACGCACTAATACAATATCTATAAAAAAGTTTTCAATGGCTCACAAATCTTTAGGTGTGTTGATAGGTAAAGATCTCTGTCAAAATCAGTCTGTAATAATTGAGAGAGGTGGCTATGTTTTCGAATGCCCAAACAACACAAAGTTATAAGAAATAATGAATAATCACGAAATATAACACAACTAAATAAACAAAATTTATATCCAGTAACTGGCCGTAAGCAAATGGAGATCTGTAAATTGCCTGTTAAAATAATTAAAATAATATTCTTGAAAAACCTCATTAAGTTAAAAGAGAACACAGAAACTAATATAAAGAAAATAATTCATGAACAAAATGGAAATACCAACAGAGAGAGAAAAATCATAAAGAAAATTCTGTAGCTGGAGAATGAAATAACTTAACTGAAAAACTTAATAGAGTACATTAATAGGAGACTTGATCAGGCAGAAGGAGTCATAGGAACCTAAAGAGAAAGGAATAAAAAAATAGTAAAACAAAACAAAGCAAAACGCTAAGGCACTTATGAGACACTGTCAAGCCAATTTATATATTTACTATGAAATCTTAGAGAGTCAGAAAGACAGAAAAGAACAACAAACTTAAAGAGCTAATGGCTAAAACTTTCTGAATCTAGGGAGGGAAATAGATGTCCAGATTCATGTAGTCCAAAAAAATTCAAATATATTGAACATAAAGAGGTCTTTGCCAAGACACAATACAGGATGAATATTCTTTACCCCAAACAGTTAGAACCAGAAGTGTTTCAGATCTGGATTTTCTTTTCAGATTTTGGAATATTTACATTATACTTACTGGTTGAGCTTTCCTAATATGGAATTTGAAATCTGAAATACTCAAATGAGCATTTTCTTTGAGCCTCAGGTTGGCACCCAAAATGTTTTGGATTTTGAAGCATTTCAAATTTTGGATATTCAGATTAGGGATACTCAAACCATGTAATTAAATTATCAAAAGTGAACTACAAAGAAAAATTTTTGAAAACAGCATCAAAAAGTGATTCATCACATGCAAAGAAATCTCCATAAGACTGTCAGTGGATTTTTCAGCTGAAACCCTGTAGGCCAGTAAAGAGTAGGGTAATATTTCCAAAGCCCTGGATGAACAACAACAAAAACACATAAAATCAAGAATGCTATACCTATTAAAACTGTCAGTCAGAAGTGAGGGAGAGATAAAGAATTTTCTAGACAAACCAAAGCTGACAGATCATCACTAGACTTCCTCTACAAAAATTGTAAAGGGAGTTCTTCAAGTTGAAACTATAGGATGCAAGACAGCAACATGAAAGCATTTAAAAGTATAAAATTCAAAGTTAAATGTACAGACAAATGTCATCCTACTGTAATGGTGGCATGTGAATCATTTTTAACTTTTAGCATTAGAGTTAAAAAAACGTGTTAAGAATAACTATAACCACCTTTTTAAAATGAATTTGCAATCAAAAGATGTTTTTTAAAGAAAGTTAACTAAAATTGACAAACCCTTAGCAAGACTAGTTAAAAGAGAGAAGACTCTCTCAGAAATAATATAGAAAAAAATTACAACTGGTGCCACAGAAAAAGAATCATAAAAGACTACTATGAACAATATATAATAAATTGAATAACTAGAAAAATGGATACATTCTTAGAAATATACAACCTTCTAACATTGAATCATAAAGACAGAAAATCTTAAAGGATCAATAATGAATTATGAGATTGAATAAATAATCAAAAATCTTCTGATAAGGAAAAAATCCATGACAATAATGCTCATTGGTAAAACATTTAAAGAATTACAATTAGTCTTCTTGAATTATTTTAACTTTTTTGAAGAGGAGAGAACACATCCAAACTCATTGTATGAGTTAAGCATTGCCCCTGTGAACCCAAAAGTATCGGACACAGGTCTCCATCAATTTAGAAAGTTTAGTTTGCCAAAGTTAAGGATGTGGCCATGACACAGCCCCAGGAGGTCCTGACAACATGTGCCCAAGGTGGTTGGGTTATAGCTTGCTTTTATACATTTTAGGAAAACATAATACATCAATCAATACATGTAAGATGTACACTGGTTCTATCTGGAAGGGCATGACAACTTGAAGCAGAGAAGGGGGTGGGAGAGGTATGCTTCCAGGTCATAGGTAGATTGAAAAATTGTCTGATTGGCAATTAGTTGGAAGAGTTATTATCAATAGAAAGTAATGTCTGGGTTACACCTAAGGGGCTATGAAGACTGAGGTTTTATTATGCAGATAAAGGCTCCAGGTAGCAGGCTTCAGAGACAATAAATTGTAAATTTTTGTTTATTATTGTTGTTGTTACTGTTTTTTTTTTTTTTTTGAGATGGAGTCTCACTCTGTTGCCCAGTCTGGAGTGCAGTGGCATGATCTCAGCTCACTGCAACCTCCACCTCCTGGGTTCAAGCGATTCTCCTGCCTCAGCCTCCCAAGTAGTTGGGATTACAGGTGCCCGCCACCACACCCGGCTAACTTTTTTATTTTTAGTAGAGATTGAGTTTCACCATGTTAGTCAGATAGTCTCGATCTCCTGACCTCCTGATCCACCTGCCTCAGCCTGCCAAAGTGCTGGGATTACAGGCATGAGCCACTGTGCCCGACTATTGTAAATTTTTTTAATGAGACTTAAGATCTGTGTTGATGTTAATGCAGAATAGGTATAATGAGGAATTTCAAAGCCTCTTCCATCATGTCCTGACCTACTTTTTCAGGTTAACTCTGTAGTACCCTTGGTGGAGAGGAGGGGTCCATTCAGATGGTTGTGGGGGCTTAGAATTTTATTTGTGGCTTATACCTTTACACCAAGTCAGGAAAATCAGCATAAAGAAAATAAAATTAGAGGCAAGTATCCCTGGTGAATACAGATGCACAAATGCTCAATATTTTTAATTTTTTTAATTTTTAATACCCTTTTAAATTCAGCAAACTTAATTTAAAAGGGTATTAAAATGATCATATACCATGGCCTACTGTGATGTATCCCTTAGATGCAAAGACTGTTTAATATACACATGTCAATAATGTGATATACTACATTGATAGAAAGAAGGATTAAGATAATATGATAATCTCAATAGATGGAGAAAAATAATTTGACAAAATTTAATATTGTTTCATGAAAAATCCCTCAATGAATTAGATATCAAAAAAAACTCAAGATAATAAAGGCCATGTACAAATGACCATAGCTAACACACTCAATGGTAGAAAAGTGAATGTTTTTACTCTGAGACCAGGAATCACAGAGGATGTCAACTCTTGCCATTTTTATTCAACATAGTAGAGGAAGTCCTTGCCAGGACATTAGCATTAAAATTAAACGAAAAAAATTATTAAGAATAACTAGGCCGAGTGTGGTGGCTCACGTCTGTAATCCCAGCACTTTGGGAGGCCGAGGCAGGTGGATAACCTGAGGTCAGGAGTTCGATAGCAGACTGACCAACATGGTGAAACCCCATCTCTATTAAAAATATAAAATCAGTTTGGCGTGGTGGCACATGCCTGTAATCCCAGCTACATGGGAGGCTGAGGCAGGAGAATTGCTTGAACCCAGGAGGCAGAGGTTGCAGTGAGCCAAGATTGAGCCACTGCACTCCAGAGCTTGGGCGACAAAGTGAGACTCAATAATAATAATAATAATAATAATAATAATTTTAAAAAAGAATAACTATAGCTACAAATTAGGCAAGGAAAATAAGTAAAAAATTTCCAAAATTAAGATGAAATAAAATTAAATTAAAGGCATCAAAAAGGAGAAGAAACTTTTTCTCCGTTTCTAGATAACATGATCTTTTACATAGAAAACAACCAAACAAGCAAAACTTTTAGAACAAATGAATTCATTCAGTAAAGTTGCTGGATACAAAATCAAAATACAAAAATTACTTCTTTTTATACACTAGCAACAAACTCTCTGAAAAGGAAATTAAAGAAAGCAATCTCACTTAAAATAGTATGGAAAAAATAAGATATTTAGAAATAACCAAGATGGTAAAAGATTTCTACATTGAAAAGTACAAAAAACTGATAAAATAAGTTACAGAAAACACAAATAAATAGAAAGTTGTCCCGTGTTCATGTATTGGATGACTTAGTATTGTTAAAATGTCCATACTGCCGAAAGCAATCTATAGTTTCAGTCCAGGTGCAGTTGCTCACACCAGTAATTCCTTCAATTTAAGAGGCCAAGACAGGAGGATTGCTTTAGCTCAGGAGTTCCAGACCAGCCTGAGCAACATGGCAAAACCCCATCTCTTCAAAAAATACAAACATTAGCTTGGTGTGGTGGCACATTCTTGTAGTTCCAGCTAATTAGGAGGTTAAAGTGGGAGAATCCCCTGATTCTGGAGATCGAGGCTTCAGTGAGCTGTAATCATACCACTGCACTCTAGCCTGGGTGACAGAGTAAGAGCTTTTCTCAAAAAGAAACATAATAATAATAAAATAAATAAATAAATAAAACAATCTATGATTTCAGTGCTCTCCCCATCAAAGTTCTAATGGAATTTTCACAAAAATAGGGAAAACTAAACCCTCATAAAGAACAAAAAATGATGCCAAATAGCCAAAGCAATTTTGAGAAAGAACAAAGGTGTAAGTGTCACACTTTCTGATTCAAACTATACTACAAAGCTGTTGTAATCAAAATAGTATGGTACTGGCATAAAAATAGGCACACAGATAAATGACGGAGAATAAGGAGCCTAGACATAAACCCATATATATATTTTCAAATAATCTGTTACAAGAATATGAAGAACACACACTGAAGGAAGCATAGTCCCTTCAATAAATGCATTGGGAAACTGGATGTTCACATGCAAAAAAATAAAATAAAAATGAACCCATATCTTACATCACTTAATTAACTAGAAATAGATAAAGACATAAACATAAAACTTGAAATCATTAAACTCCTGTAAGGAAACACAGGGACAAAGCCCCATGATATTGGTCTTGGCAATAATTTTTTGGGATATGAGACCAAAAGCACATGGAACTAAGGCAAAAATAAATGAGCAAGACTGCAAAAATAAACAAACAAGACTGCTTCAAACTAAAAACCTTCTTCACATCAAATAAAACAATCAATAGAGTGAAAAGGAAACCTTTGTTTTAGTTGAAGATATTAGCAAATCATACACCTAATAAAGGAGATTAATATCCAAAATACATATGGAAATCCTACAGTTTAATAACGAAATATAAATAACCTGTTTAATAGATGGGCAAAAAACTTGAAAAGGCATTATCTGAAGAATACATACAAATAGACACCAGCTGTATAAAAATGTGATCAGCATTACTAATAATGAGGGAAAAGTACATCAAAACCACAAGAAGATATTATCTCACACCTGTTAGAATAGCTCTCATAAGAAAAAAGAAAAAAAACATAAATGTCAGTGAGTATGTGGAAAAATATGAACTCTATACATTGTTAGTGGTATTGTAAAATTATACTGCTTCTATGTAAAGCAGCATGGAAATTCTTCACGAGATTAAAAATAGAACGACCATATGACTCAGTAATTCCACTTCTGTGTATATACTCAAAAGTACTGAAATCAGGGTATGGAAGAGATATTTTCATTCACATATTAATTGTAGCATTATTCACAATACTCAAGATAAGAAACAACTTAAATGTCTATTGATGATGAAAATATTTTTAAAATGTCGTATATACACAAAATGGAATATTATTCAGCCTGAAAAAAAGGAAGAAGATCTTGCCATAGGTGACAATGTTAATGACCCTGGAGAACGTTATGCTAAGTAAAATAAGTAAGTCACAGAAAAACAAATACTGCATGATTTCATTTACATGAGGTATCTAAATAGTCAGACACATAAAAATAAAGAGGAAAATGGTGGTCATCAAGAGATGAGAAGATGGAAAAATGAAGAATATTTTTTCATTGGGTATGAAGTTTCAGCTATATAAGATAAATAAGTTTTAGAGAAATGTTTAACATATGCCTACACTTAGCAATATGTTATCTTGTATTTAAAATTTTTATTGAGAGATTTGGTGTAATGTTAAGTGTAAATTTCTAGGAAAATCTGGCACTAAACATTAGAAACAAGAAAACAAACATGAAAAACATAAAGAAGCATGAGAAACTTCTGAAGTGATAAATATTTCCTTGATTGCAGTGATGGTTTTATGAATACACATATATATCAAAAGTCATCAAATTGTATACATTAAAAATGTGCACTTTTTGTATATCAATTATATTTTAATAAAGTTATTAAAAATAATTTAACAAGAATATGGTATAAAATATCACTAAACAAAAATAAAATGTAATTAAAAATATTTCTATAAACAAACAGCAAATAATTGGAAATATTTAAAATTCCATTATCTGTAAAATACTTATGGATAATCTGAAACAAATAGGTGCAATACTTGTACATTGAAAACTATGAAACAATCCAGTGAGAAATTAAGCAAATCTTAAATATATGCAAAGATATACTGTGTTCATGAATAGAAAAACTAAATATTTTGAAGTATTACTTCTTAAATTATTAATTCAATACAATCCCAATTATAATTGCAGAGGCTTTTCTTTCCTAGAAATTGACAAACATGCCTTACAATATTAATGAAAACACAGAGGATTCAGGAGTAATAAAAATAAACTTTCAAAGTACACTTTTGAAGTAATACACTACCTGATTTTGGCATTCACTTTACCAATATGTTATTTAAGTAAACATGGTTATAGCATAAGGATAGATATGGCTGAATAAAATGGAGAATTCTGGAAGAGACCCACACTTATACATTAAAGTTACTTATATAAAAGCAACAAAAAAGTAATAAGAACAAATAATATTTTCAAGAAATGTTATTATAACAACAGTTTACTTACTTTTCTTTTTTTAAAAAATATCTTTGATTTACCCTTCCAGATAATTTCTGCCTTTCAACATTTTTAGATTTAGACATTTTTTCTCCTCAATTTCCTTCACATTTTCTTCAATACTGATGAATTCTGTTATTCCTGATCACAACAAGTGACATAAAATCAAAAGAAACAAACAAAACAATAGAGCACAATGGTTAATGTCAATGGAATTATTTTAAGAGTATGGTATGGCCAGAAAAAGCAAGACTAAAAAATAACTTTGGGTGTGTAGCTTCATAACACTTGAAAAAAAGTTGCTTCATAACACTTCAAAACAAAATAAATATTTTTATTGTTCTAGCTTCTATTGTCATTGCTCTTATTTTATTTCACTTTGGTACTTATTGTTTTCTGAAATTGTAAATGCATAACATAACAGCAGAATGTCTCATGTTAAGATGCTGGTGAAGACTAGAACACTAGCCCCTACAAAGACCTCTTAGTAAGGTTCTAGGAAACACATACGGAGGGTAATACTACTATATATATACATCTTCATGTATGACAAGCCAACCTCTGATCTAGTGGGAGGAATGAAGAAGCAAATAAGAATCTTGAACTTCTCAGAAGTTATTCTGTAGATCTTTATATAGGAAAGTAAACAATTTACATCTAGTCAGTGAGAGGAAACGTGACAGATTAAAACTCAGAAACTATGGCAGACAAAGAAGGGAGGGGTGGGAATGAATTATAAAGCCTATTATATGCTATGCTAAAAGGTTCAGTGTAAAAGAAGACTTCTGAATGTAAATGCCCTTAAACTGATTTTTTAAGAAAAGTGACTGGCCAAGTGTTGAATGAATTAAGGAGTAGTTACTATATTTCAGGCAGTCAACAAGCTAATATATGTAAGCTGATGTATGTATATTATATATAGTCCTTTAACTCTTGCAGCAAATTGCATAAGGTAATTGTTATTTAACTGAAGCCTGGAGAAGTTAAGTAATTTACCCAAGATGTATCCGTAGCAAAACGAATTTAAAATATAGGTAAAAATAACACCAAGTACCGGCTTCTTTCCATTACACCAGTGATTTTTAACTGTGGATGATTTTGTTCCCATTCCACCCCCCAAATACCAGTACATTTGGCAATGTCTGGAGACATTTTTGATTATCTCTAAAACCGGACTGGGACAGGGGTACAATGACACAAATGACATCTTGTAGAAACAGGCAAGGGATGCCACTAAACATTCAACAATGTACAGGCCATTTCCCTCAGCAAAGAATTATCCAATACTAAATGCCAACAGTACCAAGGCTACATTTTTTATTATCTCTAAAACCGGACTGGCACAGGGGCACAATGACACAAATGACATTTAGTAGAGGCAAGAGATGCCACTAAACATTCAACAATGTACAGGCCATTTCCCTCGGCAAATAATTATCCAATACTAAATGCTAACAGTGCCAAGGCTGAGAAACTCTGCGCTATGTAGAGTTTCACCGTGCCAAGTAGACAAGCCAAAAGTATTTTATTAAGACAGAAGAAAGGATACTCTAAAGAGATGTGACAGAACATACATTTGAATAGCTATATTTGAATGCAATGATAAAGAATCCAAAATTTATCCTAACAACAATATGGTCTTGGAGAAAATGTCGACAATGCATTATGCTCTTCTTTTAAATTCATTCATTCATCTACAAATCCATAGAGTGTTTTCATGGTGTTACTCTAAAATTATTCTCATACTCTCATCAATCAAAAAATAAAAAATTATAGACATACCCCATCACACGTGAGACATAGACATAAAATAAATATAATCTAAAAGTAAATTCTGAAACTAATTTATATGTATAATATATAATATAACTTTAATATATTTTCTGACAAGAGTATTAAATGTTTGGCAAAAAGAAAAAAAAACCTATTAGTGTATTTATTGTCAGCATAAAATATGTCAAGTCCTATTCATCTAATATAAAATCCTGGAAGCAATTCCACTTACAGAAAATGCTCTGGATTTCCTCCGAAGGTGGAATTTATAGAAGGACAGTGATTTGAAAAGATTGCCAATTCATTTCAGTTTTACCATTACATAGAGAAGATGGGACAGAAGGGGGAAAAAAGAAATGAGGAAAATAAAGATGGTAAAAGGCTAATTCTGACTGTTATAGATTGAAGCCAAAAAAACAGCCAAAGAGTGAGCTCTAATGGTACACACATAGATCTTTAATAGGCTGTCAACTTCAACACATCACCATAGAGAAAGTTAAGGCTAAGTTAGTTTGGGATTTGGTGAGCAAAAAGAAAGTAAGTAAAAATGATGTATTTTTATAAATATAATTAGCAATTATTTTTCCATAGACAACTATTAATGATCTCATAATGAGTATTATACTTTTTATCCTTATCTACTGTGATGATAATGGCTATTATAATATCATACAGTTATTCACATAATAGTTTTCTTTTCCTGATTTCACCCTTGGGAATATAGTTCTTGGCTTAAAATAAAAGTTTGTAATCACAAAGACTTTGATATTTTAAGAGATCTTAAATATGAAATATGGGTTGGAGGTAGAAGGATGAATAGGCAAAGCACAGAGCACAGAGGATTTTTAGGACAATGAAAATATTCTGTATGATGCTATAATGATGGTTATGTATCATTATACATTTTCCCAGACCTGTAGAATATACAACTCCAAGAGTAATCTTCAAGTAAATAATAGATTTTGGGTGACAATGATACGTAAATTCATTGAGTTATCTTATGAATTTAATGTGTCTAATGTAGGTTCATTAAATGTAGCAAGCATACCACTCTGGTGGGGGATGCGGATGATACAGGAGGCTATGCATGTGCTGTAGCTAGCAGGCAGTAATAAGGGGACTTCGATAAATTTTGTGGAAAATACAATTAAAAGATAAAAATAAAAAAACATAAGCTTTATGTCTTCACAGAAGCTCCATCAATGTTGAGAAATTGTTAGTGATGATACCAGCCATTCAGTTCATTCATAAAGAACTGAGTGAGGGTGCTGGGAATTCAACTGCCAATGCAGTTGTTTTTATGTCATTAACTGAAGAAAAATAAAAGTGCTTTATAAATCTTTTAAGATTAGGAGACAAAAAGAAGTCAGGAGGAGCCAAATCAGGATTGCAGATTGTAAAGTAGATGTTTAATGATCTGCCATGGAAAGTCACAAAATTGCCCTGGTTTGATAACAATACTGAGCAGGAGTATTGTTGTGGTAGAGAAGGACCCTCTGATGAAGCATCCTGGGGATTTTTCTGCTAGAGCTTTGGTTAACCTTCTCAAAACACTCGCATAATAAGTAGATGTCATATTTCTTTGGCCCTCCAGAAAGTCAACAAGCAAAATATTTCAGCAACCTCCCAAAATTGTTGCCATGATCGTTGCTCTTGACTGATCCACTTTTGCTTTGACAGAACAACTTCCACATTTTGGTAGCCGTTGCTTTGATTGTGCTTTGTCTCCAGAATTGCACCAGTGAAGCCATGTATTATCTCCCATCATAATTCTTCAAGATTATGTTTCAGGATCTTGATTTCACTTTTTGAAAATTTCCGTTTAAAGCTCTGCCCTTGTCTACCGCTGACCTTGGCACAAGGGTTTTGCCACTTACTGAGTGAAAAGTTCGCTCAACTTTAATTTTTTAGTTTTGCCACTTACTGAGTGAAAAGTTCGCTCAACTTTAGTTTTTTAGTCAGTATTGTGCAAGCTGAACCGATTGAGATGCCTATGGTGTTGGCTATTGTTTCTGCTGTTAAATTGTTAGTCCTTTTCAATTAGGGCAAGAACAAGATTAATTTTTTTTCTCATAAATTGTTGTGACCAATGTGGGCTTCCTCTTTAACAATGTCAACATTGTCTTGTTACTTCTCAGTACAAGCTATCCGTTTGATTTATGCCGGGCATTATTTCCATAAAATTTTTATAAAGCATCAGTGATTTCACTATTTTTCTACCTAAGCTTCACCATAAATTTGATGTTTGCTCTTGCTTAAATTTTAGCAAAATTTATGTTACTCTAATAGGGGCTCTTTTCAGACTGATGTCTCATCCTTCTTAGTGATTCAAACTAGAGTCTGTTCAGACATGTTACTACAGGTTAGTATAAAGTTATTTTGCACAAAAAAATCTTGGAATCCATGCATAGTTTTTCATAGTATTTATGTTCTATGACATTTTAAGTCCCTTTCTATATGAAAAATCTTTATACCTTCCTCCCTGTTTTGCTATGAACCTAAAACTTCTCTAAAATATCAAGTCTTTAAAAATGGGTTAATTACCCTATTAACCAACTAATGACATCTCTTTCTCTCTCTCTCTTTGTTTCTCCCTGTGTCTCTTCTCTTTCTCACTTGGATAAGCTGTTGGTGATTAAACACAAATTAGTAGAAATTGGGATACTATCTACCAACAATTTCATTCATTCATTTTAAGGAAGATATATATTAATACCTCCAGAAAAATGCATATCTTTTCTTTATTTCCATTTGGAATTTTAATGGATCCACATCCAAAGGGGTAAATTCTTAATCATATAATTTGCTTTTCTGTAAAATCTTGAAATAGTCCTTCCAAGAAATTTTTGACTAAGAAAATTTATATTAACATACCCCCATAATTTTTCCCATTATAAACATTTCCCTTAGGCACTTTATTTCTGCATTACATATGTTGCATAAGCATTGTTTCATTATTTTTTACTTTTATTTCATTAATTTTTATTTAAATATCTGACCAACAAACACAATGTCAGATTTATTGCTTTTTACACTAGATTGTTTCTCAAGGAAGTTAAAATATATCATTGTATAGAACAATTAGAGAATTTTTATTCTAACAGTAACCTAATGGATTATTTATTATACTACATACAAGTTTCAAGAATAATAAAAGTCCCTCTAAAACATAAAATACAACAAACTCTGTTATATTAACTAGGTATAAAAAAGTGTTTTTTCACCTTAATATTATAATAAAATTGAACTTCCGAAGTAAATAGAAAGGTAAGAGGTACTAAAATAAAATGTTAACTGTTAGTGGAGTTACCAGGTAAAGAATAGTGTTAATATTTACTTTGGGCAGTGAAAGTTTGGGGTTTTTTACACTTGTGAAAATACATCACACCTGGGAAAGGGAGCTTGAAAAAGCAAAGCGAAACCGTTTGAGCTCAAAATTACAACTGGGGAATCCTCACTGAGAAGGAAACACCCCAAATATACATTGATGAATGCTGGCGTAAGGCCTGGGTTTAATTAGAAAATTAACTCTTCAGCTGTCATCCATCAGAGTGGAGACATCTGCAAGTGATAGAAGAAGATGGAGAGAAACTACCACTGAGATTCACTGCAAAGAGAAAATCTAAAGCAAAGGGAAGAGCAGACATTGAGAAAAGTTTCTGCCAAACAAAATGACCCTCAACACAACATAATGTAAAAAGAATTTAAAACCTATTGTGTACTGAGGGCAGAAATACCAAAAAACAAGCTCAAACTGAGTTAAAACATATGAAGTGGTATATCTGTGATCTTTTTGTAGCAATCTGATTATTATTAATTCATTATATTTACCTCCTTAGTTCACCACTCCAAAATTGTTTTAGCTTTTCTCATGGTAGTGTGCTGCACTTGACAGCCTATTAGGTGTCAGTCTATGTGCCATGAGAAGCTCATTCACATACTTTTGAGCCCCTTCCTTTTCCTTCTTTTTCTCTCATCTCCTTGGTGTGTAATGATAATGATGAAATGAATTGATAGTATTTACCTTGGATTATTCATACTTCTTCTCCCCAGGAATTCCACCTACAATAGATTTCCAGGCCTTTTTTTTTCTTTTGGTCCAGAACACTTCTAGGATTTTCAAAATGAAGTTCTTTAATTTTTATCTTCTTACTTTTCCAAAAGACATTCTAATATTAATTTCTTCAGGGCCTGGACTTCTTGTCTGCAATTTATTTCTGAGTAGGCTTATTAAATTCTATAATTTTAAACACGAATACAATAATAGTTATTCTCTTTTTCAAATTTCTGGTTTATATTTATCTTTTGATCTTGTGTACCCTGCTGGCTATTTGGAATATTTTCTTTAATTCTTATAGGCATCCCAAATATAACATGGCTAGGAGAAATAATCTGAATGTTTCCTACCACATTTGGCACTATCTCAAAAATGATGCTGAAACTTCCCCGATTGTCAAGGCAATTAGTGGAAATGTCCATGTTATCAATTTCTTAGCAAAGATCTAATTTATTCTACTCCCGAAGGTAAAGTTAATGGTTCTGCCATCTTTCTCAACCTCTACTTCCACCATACCAATTATGGCTGTCATCCTCTTTCTCTGAACTACTGTTAGCTTCTCTAACCAGAGTCCCTGCTTATACAATTGCCTGCCTAAAATATATTTTTAAAAATATGTCTTTATATTGTTAAAACCCAACTAAATCATTCCTATTTCAACTACCATGAAACACAATTTCATGACCATGAGTGTCTTTCAATTTTTTTTTTTTTTTTTTGACAGAGTTTCGCTCTTGTTGCCCAGGCTGGAGTGCAATGGCACTATCTCGGCTCACTGCAACCTCCGCCTCTGGGTTCAAGCGATTCTCCTGCCTCAGCCTCCCGAGTAGCTAGGATTACAGGCATGTGCCACCACGCCCAGCTAATTTTTGTATTTTTAGTAGAGATGGGGTTTCACCACGTTGGCCAGACTGGTCTCAAACTCCTGACCTCGTGATCCACTTGCCTCGGCCTTCCAAAGTGTGGGATTTCAGTTTTTCAAATTTTTATATGCATATCTGGCACCTCATGTTATGCTTCAATATAGTCTAGGCACCTTGGTATTGAACACAATCTGTACCCATGTCTGTATTATTTTCCCTACAGCTTTTTCATACAACTGATTTCCACCTTACTCTTTACATTTCAACAGAAACCTTACTTCTTTAGAAAGTACACCTCTGACTTACCTATATAAATACATATTTTCTATTACTTTCTCTCACACATACCTGATCACTTCCTTGTCATAATCTGCAGTATTATGTGTGTGTGTGTGTATGTGTGACTGTGTATATGACTCTGTGTGTGTGCGTTAAGGATGTACTGTTTCTCTTTTCTATTTAAAAGTAAACTCCATGAAGGCAGGAACCATTCTTGTATTATATGTGCCTTTCCTCAATGTTGAGAACAATGCCTGGTACTTGATTAATATGCATTGAATGGACTAGCAGTTAATTCCAATAATGATATAAAGATGTACACAGTTTGCCTCAAATAGATATTTAATTTTTATTCTTTATAAAATTTCTAAAATAAAATTTAATAAAAAATATGTTAAAGTGAAATATGAAAGGGTTGTTTACTTGCACAAGATCATTTAAGCATACAAAAGTTCGAAAAACCTTTCATAATTAATTAATATGGGTACCTGTCTTAGTCTGTTTGGATTCTTATAATAAAATGTATCAGACTGCATAATTTATAAGCTACAGACATTTATCCCTCATAGTTCTGGAGGCTGGGAAGTCACAGATAATTGTGCCAGCAGATCAGTAAAGATCAGTGTCTGGTGAGGGCTTGTTCTTTTTTTCCAAGATGGCAACTTCTTGCTGTGTCCCACACGGCTGAAGGAGAAAACAAGCTCTCTTGAGTCTCTTCAATGAGGGCGTTAATTACAGTCACAAGTGTTCACCCTCATGATTTGATTACCTCCCAAAAGGCTCCATCTCTTAATACTATTGCAGTGGGGATTAGGTTACAACATATTAATCTGAGGGGAACACAAACATTCTAACCATAGCATTCTCTTGCAAGATGCACCTGTGGACTTATGAAGCTAAAATACAGTATCGCTTATTCCCTACTTCAAAATGAATGACTATCCACTTAGGAAACCATGATTTATGTTAATTGCCAGTGGCCAATATAATTTATTCTATCTAGTGTTGAATACATTGTCTTTCTTGTGTGCTGGAAAATTGTATTCAGTATGTACTTACTTAATGTTTAACTCTTAGTTATGTTGGGCCTCCTTTGTGAGCACATCTATCAATCATATAATGACAATAACAATAACAAAATACAGAAGATAAGAGAATGAGGAGGAGAAGCAGCTTTGAAAGTGGGGATGGAGAAGTTATGAGTCTCTAAGTGCCGGTTTTCTTAGCTTAGAGCCTGAAAAATAGTGCTGTTAAATATTTGCCATATTCAACTGAAGTGTCAAAAAGTAAGAAGGGAAGGAGGGAAAGATAAAGAAAATAAGGTGGAAGCAAAAACATTGGTAAAGTAGACATAAGAGTAATGAAACATAAAAATAATTTTAATGGAAGAAAGAATTGAAAATATGACAAATCAACGGAAAAATGCAGTATGTGATTTATTCTTTATATTATAAATCCCCCAAAGACATTTGTATTTTTCCTTGGCTACCTTAGTACATTAAATATATTTTTCTTTTGAAAATAATTTGTTCAAAATCTTCAAGCAACAGAAATCTTTCTAAATACTTTTTAATTATATAAAATAGCTACAGGAAGTTGTATATTTTTTGGAATATTGATAAAGGAGCATAATTTATGTTACCACATTTTTATGATTTTGATGAAACTCATAAACATTTTAAATCCTGGATACATATTTTTTCCAAAGCTGAATTGTACTTTGCAAGTTCAATTAGTGTTTTTAACTACCATTAGTTAGTCAAAACATTTCTAGATTGGAGCATATCTTTCACCTTCCCTGACTTGTAAAAAAATGAATCAATAAAAGAGCTTTTGTACTTGCGCAAATTGAGATGATTGCAAAAAACTGATTTTTCTCCATTATTTCTGCTGCCACTATGATAGGAACTGCTGATGACTGTGGCTAAGCCACATTTCAGAAGGGTTTCAGAACCAACCCTTCTTTCCCCTCATGCTGGAGCTGAGAAAAATAAATGTATCGAGACCCCTTTCTTTGACACAATTTCAAATAGTTAGACAGGTGTAACAGTTTTTGTTCTTGTTAATAAAGATACCAACAGCTCCTCACACACACACTGTTGATGCTATTATAAAATTTATTCTTTACAAAAATGCCTAAATTCCCTGGAATTCTTGTGAAGTCTCCCAGCATGACTCGCAATGAGAATTGGAAGGGATTTTAGTAATTTTTTAGACTTTTGCTCAGTGCTAATATTTCTCAGTGCTCAGTGCTAATATTTCTTACAACAATCCGACAGTTATGGTGGAATTACCTTACCTGTACACACAGACTCAAACACACACTCATGCACATATGTTAATCCTTTCTACAACATTGTTCAATATAGAATTTGGCTTAAATATAATTTCAAGTAATTCTGAGAAAAAATCAGGAGGAAATCTTCATCTTAGAGATATATTTAAATAAGATATATCAGGATCACTAGAATTTATGTATCTATCACCGTAGATATTGAGGCTGTAACTTAGTTTTTGAAAGAAAGACACTTTTCAAAAGAAGACATAGATGCGGCCAAAAATCATATGAAAGAGAAAATGCTCAATATCACTGATCATTAGAGAAATGCGAATCAAAACCATAATGAGATACCATTTCACACCAATCTGAATGGCTATCATTGAAAAGTCAAAAAATAATGGATGCTTGTGAGGGTGCAAAGAAAAAGGAACACTTATACACTGTTGGTGAGAATGTAAACTTTTTCAAGCATTGTGGAAGACAGTGTGGCAATTCCTCAAAGACCTAAAAACAGAAATACCATTCAGCCCAGCAATCCTATTACTGGGTATATACCCAAAGAAATATAAATTGTTCTATTATAAAGACACATGCATGTGTATGTTCATTGCAGCACCATTCACTGTAGCAAAGTCATGGAATCAACCTAAATGCCCATCAGTGATAGACTGGATAAAGAAAATGTGGTGCATGTAACACCACCATGGAATACTATGCAGCCATAAAAAAGAAAAAGATCATGACTTTTATAGGACATGAATGGAGCTGGAAGCCATTTTCCTTAGCAAAATAATGCAGGAACAGAAAACCAAATACCACATTTTCTCACTTATAAGTGGGAGCTAATTGATGACAACACATGGACACACAGAGGGGAACAACTTACACTGGGGACTATTGGAGGGTAGAAGATGGGAGGAGAAAGAGGATCAGGAAAAATAACTAAAGATACTAGGCTTAATACCTGGGTGAGGAAATGATCCATACAACAAATCCCCCATGATACAAGTTTACCTATATAGCAAACCTGCTCATGTACCTCTGAACTTAAAATAGAAGTTAAACAACAGAAAGAAATCATGCTAAATTTGTTGAGACAATAATGCTTGTGTTTCTGCTTATAAATTAAATGGATAGAAGACACCAATATTCTGGTTCTTGACAGAAGAGATTGGGTTACACAGACTAAATACTGACTAAATAACTTTCATTCTAAGAGTGAAATTGAGTTGAGATAAAACGCAAAAATTGTTCAAAATGTGTTTTTCCTGCATACATAAAACTTTGATATATAGGTTATTTTAACTATAATTCTATGTGATTTAATATCCTACATATAGATTAAAAAGTAAATACTTCCTTTGGGGAAGTGTTAATCTTAATATTTGAACAAGATTTTGTCAATGATAGTTTATTTAAAATAATATATTAATAGCCATTATTGACACAGGTTAAAAATAACGTTTTTATTACTTGAGTACTACTTAAGCATCATCTATCACAAAGATTTTGTGTTTTTCAGGGTTTAATGTATCCTAAACGTCAGCAAAGCCTTGAAGTCCCAGAAAAAGCAAAAATGATAGAATGATCTTGCCATAAATAATTGATAGGTACTCTAATCTTAGAAGAAATCACAGCTAATGTTAAATATAAAGAAAAAGTAAAAAAGGATGTGAGATTTTCCTGAAATTTTCAAGTTTCTTACTAAAATATATTTGAATAGTCCAAGATGTAATTGGATGTATTATCTACCAAAAATAACAAAATATTTTTTTAAATTGTCTTTAGCAAACTTCAAGACATGTCTTGCTCGCCATTAATTTCAATATCCTAGCAACAATTTTCAGTAGACTGTAGTGCAGTAAGTACAATATAACTAAGTAGTGAAGGAGAGCCATTTATTCAGCTTACTGCATGCTTTATATTAAAAATACACACTTGAAGTTCTCCTTGAAGAGGTCCTTCACGTCCCTTGTAAGTTGGATTCCTAAGTATTTTATTCTCTTTGAAGCAATTGTGAATGGGAGTTCACTCATGATTTGGCTCTCTGTTTGTCTGTTATTGGGGTATAAGAATGCTTGTGATTTTTGTACATTGATTTTGTATCCTGAGACTTCACTGTTGTTTATCAGCTTAAGGAGATTTTGAGCTGAGACAATGGGGTTTTCTAGATATACAATCATGTCGTCTGCAAACAGGGACAATTTGACTTCCTCTTTTCCTAATTGAATACCCTTTATTTCCTTCTCCTGCCTAATTGCCCTGGCCAGAACTTCCAACACTATGTTGAATAGGAGTGGTGAGAGAGGGCATCCCTGTCTTGTGCCAGTTTTCAAAGGGAATGCTTCCAGTTTTTGCCCATTCAGTATGATATTGGCTGTGTGTTTGTCATAGATAGCTCTTATTATTTTGAGATACATCCCATCAATACCTAATTTATTGAGAGTTTTTAGCATGAAGTAATGTTGAATTTTGTCAAAGGCCTTTTCTGCATCTATTGAGATAATCATGTGGTTTTTATTTTTGGTTCTGTTTATGTTTATATGCTGGATTACATTTATTGATTTGCGTATATTGAACCAGCCTTGCATCCCAGGGATGAAGCCCACTTGATCATGGCAGATAAGCTTTTTGATGTGCTGCTGGATTCGGTTTGCCAGTATTTTATTGAGGATTTTTGCATCAATGTTCATCAAGGATATTGGTCTAAAATTCTCTTTTTTGGTTGTGTCTCTGCCCGGCTTTGGTATCAGGATGATGCTGGCCTCATAAAATGAGTTAGGGAGGATTCCCTCTTTTTCTATTGATTGGAATAGTTTCAGAAGGAATGGTACCAGTTCCTCCTTGTACCTCTGGTAGAATTCAGCTGTGAATCCATCTGGTCCTGGACTCTTTTTGGTTGGTAAGCTATTGATTATTGCCACAATTTCAGGTCCTGTTATTGTTCTATTCAGAGATTCAACTTCTTCCTGGTTTAGTCTTGGGAGAGTGTATGTGTTGAGGAATTTATCCATTTCTTCTAGATATTCTAGTTTATTTGCATAGAGGTGTTTGTAGTATTCTCTGATGGTAGTTTGTATTTCTGTGGGATCAGTGGTGATATCCCCTTTATCATTTTTTATTGCATCTATTTGATTCTTCTCTCTTTTTTTCTTTATTAGTCTTGCTAGCGGTCTATCAATTTTGTTGATCCTTTCAAAAAACCAGCTCCTGGATTCATTAATTTTTTGAAGGTTTTTTTGTGTCTCTATTTCCTTCAGTTCTGCTCTGATTTTAGTTATTTCTTGCCTTCTGCTAGCTTTTGAATGTGTTTGCTCTTGCTTTTCTAGTTCATTTAATTGTGATGTTAGGGTGTCAATTTTGGATCTTTCCTGCTTTCTCTTCTGGGCCTTTAGTGCTATAAATTTCCCTCTACACAATGCTTTGAATGTGTCCCAGAGATTCTGGTATGTTGTGTCTTTGTTCTCTTTGGTTTCAAAGAACATCTTTATTTCTACCTTCATTTGTTATGTACCCAGTAGTCATTCAGGAGCAGGTTGTTCAGTTTCCATGTAGTTGAGCAGTTTTGAGTGAGTTTCTTAATCCTGAGTTCTAGTTTGATTGCATTGTGGTCTGAGAGACAGTTTGTTATAATTTCTGTTCTTCTACATTTGCTGAGGAGTGCTTTACTTCCAACTATGTGGTCAGTTTTGGAATAGGTGTGGTGTGGGGCTGAAAAAAATGTATATTCTGTTTATTTGGGGCAGAGAGTTCTGTAGATGTCTATTAGGTCTGCTTGGTGCAGAGCTGAGTTCAATTCCTGGGTATCCTTGTTAACTTTCTGTCTCATTGATCTGTCTAATGTTGACAGTGGGGTGTTAAAGTCTCCCATTATTATTGTGTGGGAGTCTAAGTCTCTTTGTAGGTCACTCAGGACTTGCTTTATGAATCTGGGTGCTCCTGTACTGGGTGCATATATATTTAGGATAGTTAGCTCTTCTTGTTGAATTGATCCCTTTACCATTATGTAATGGCCTTGTTTGTCTCTTTTGATCTTTGTTGGTTTAAAGTCTGTTTTATCAGAGACCAGGATTGCAACCCCTGCCTTTTTTTGTTTTCCATCTGCTTGGTAGATCTTCCTCCATCGTTTTATTTTTAGCCTATGTGTGTCTCTGCACGTGAGATGGGTTTCCTGAATACAGCACACTGATGGGTCTTGACTCTTTATCCAATTTGCCAGTCTGTGTCTTTCAATTGGAGCATTAAATCCATTTACATTTAAAGTTAATATTGTTATGTGTGCAAACCACTGCTCAATGAAATAAAAGAGGATACAAACAAATGGAAGAACATTCCATGCTCATGGGTAGGAAGAATCAATATCATGAAAAATGGCCATACTGCCCAAGGTAATTTATAGATTCAATGCCATCCCCATCAAGCTACCAATGACTTTCTTCACAGAATTGGAAAAAACTACTTTAAAGTTCATATGGCACCAAAAAAGAGCCCGCATTGCCAAGTCAATCCTAAGCCAAAAGAACAAAGCTGGAGGCATCATGCTACCTGACTTCAAACTATACTACAAAGCTACAGTAACCAAAACAGCATGGTACTGGTATCAAAACAGAGATATAGATCAATGGAACAGAACAGAGCCCTCAGAAATAACGCCGCATATCTACAACTATCTGATCTTTGAAAAACCTGAGAAAAACAAGCAATGGGGAAAGGATTCCCTATTTAATAAATGGTGCTGGGAAAACTGGCTAGCCATATGTAGAAAGCTGAAACTGGATCCCTTCCTTACACCTTATATAAAAATTAATTCAAGATGGATTAAAGACTTAAAAGTTAGACCTAAAACCATAAAAACCCTAGAAGAAAACCTAGGCAATACCATTCAGGACATAGGCATGGCAAGGACTTCATGTCTAAAACACCAAAAGCAATGGCAACAAAAGCCAAAATTGACAAATGGGATCTAATTAAACTAAAGAGCTTCTGCACAGCAAAAGAAACTACCATCAGAGTGAAGAGGCAACCTACAACATGGGAGAAAATTTTCGCAACCTACTCATCTGACAAAGGGCTAATATCCAGAATCTACAAAGAACTCAAACGAATTTACAAGAAAAAAACAAACAACCCCATCAAAAAGTGGGCAAAGGATATGAACAGACACTTCTCAAAAGAAGACATTTATGCAGCCAAAAAACACATGAAAAAATGCTCATCATCACTGGCCATCAGAGAAATGCAAATCAAAACCACAATGAGATACCATCTCACACCAGTTAGAATGGCAATCACTAAAAAGTCAGGAAACAACAGGTGCTGGAGAGGATGTGGAGAAATAGGAACACTTTTACACTGTTGGTGGGACTGTAAACTAGTTCTACCATTGTGGAAGTCCGTGTGGCGATTCCTCACGGATCTAGAACTAGAAATACCATTTGACCCAGCCATCCCATTACTGGGTATATACCCAAAGGACTATAAATCATGCTTCTATAAAGACACATGCACACGTATGTTTATTGTGGCACTATTCACAATAGCAAAGACTTGGAACCAACCCAAATGTCCAACAATGATAGACTGGATAAAGAAAATGTAGCACATATACACCATGGAATACTATGCAGTCATAAAAAGTGATGAGTTCATGTCCTTTGTAGGGACATGGATGAAATTGGAAATCATCATTCTCAGTAAACTATTGCAAGGACAAAAAACCAAACACTGCATGTTCTCACTCATAGATGGGAATTGAACAATGAGAACACATGGACACAGGAAGGGGAACATTACACTCTGGGGACTGTTGTGGGGTGGGGGGAGGGGGGAGGAATAGCATTAGGAGATATACCTAATGCTAAATGACAAGTTAATGGGTGCAGCACACCAGCATGGCACATGTATACATATGTAACTAACCTGCACATTGTGCACATATACCCTAAAACTTAAAGTATAATAATAATTAAAAATAAATAAATAAATAAAAATACACACTTGAAATACATCATCTCATAGTAACTCTATCAAGTAGTGCAGCAGTTGGAGTTCTGCCTGTATTATCTTCACCTTTTTCTGAGTACCTTGATAATGTACTTTGAAATATTTCTAGCATGCATATATGTAAGAAATTTAAAATGCTGTTTAGAAATGAAGCCTTTTTAGAAAAAATATAAAATTTGCTCTCACATTTTGTGAATTAGAATATCTCTTTAAAGTTGTGTATGATACATACATATATAAAATTTGCTCTCACATTTTATGAATTAGAATATTTCTCTTTAAAGTTGTGTATGCTACATACATGTATTTGATTGAATTGATTATTATATCTTTATTGATTTGTAACTATTAATTATATAAATTATTATTTAATATAACAATTATCCATTTGTTACATGTGCTGTAACTTTTTGGCATATGTAGTTTATGTTTTGAACATTTATGGCATTTTTCTATTGTATCTTAATTATTTTATACTAAATGTGTATTTTTTTTTGTAAAGCAATACTTGGATCGTTTATAAACATGTATTTTCTCCTAGCAATTTTATGGTTTTTGACATGCTTAAATATTCATTCACATGACATTTATTGTGTTGATGAATATGAAAAAAGGAAGCCAACATTTTTGTTTACATATCATCAAGGACTTGTCCTAACAACATTTTTCTGTGTTACGCACAGACATTATGACACAGGATCTCAGGGGCATCATTGTAATTAGAAGCTCACAAAACTCACCTTTGTTTTTAATTACAATAATAAAAATGTTTTCTTCAAATGAATTCAGGAGAAAAATGGCTCAAGGCTGAGTAATTGATTTTTGTCTTATGTACACTGCAATTAATGTAAATTCTTTAATTATTTAATTTTTAATTTTATCTTATGCACACTATAATTAAAGTATTTTATTTTTGATAGCTGATTAAAAAAACAAAACAAACAAACTCCATAGAGCTAAAATGGAGACTGTTTTCTCTCAGGATTCCAATGTCTCAACATATACCTTTTGTAGTAATGGCATCTATGACTTTATTTTGCATATATTATCTTCACCTTTTTCTAAATACCTTGATAATGTACTTTGAAATATTTCTAGCATATATATATGTAAGAAATTAAAAATGCTCTTTAGAAATGAAGTCTTTTTAGAAAAAATATAAAATTTGCTCTCACATTTTGTGAATTAGAATATCTCTCTTTAAAGTTGTGTATGATGTGTACATATATACTGGCTAAAATAGCTCATATAGAGGAAACTAAAATCTTTAGATTTCCCAAGCATTTTCTTCTATTGCACTAATTTTTATTTCCTTTGTAGCAAAAGAAGAAATTATTTTAAAATAATAAGTAATAATATTTAAGTTATTGAGTTTTCAGTTATTTCTTATCAAATGTCAGCTCATACATATATTATTCCAAGTAGCTTCAAAGATTTTCTAAGCATATGTGTATAGAAAGCTGGAGAAATCTCTCTGATTTTTTTCTAAGTAAACACTCATATGGAGATTAATTTTTTGTTCTGTTTCCTCTTTTGATGAAATCCTGTTTATAAATATGCGATTATGATATTCCCCACTAAAATGTGGTCTCTAAATGTTGTTTCCCTTTTGGTTATTGTGTTATGGTACTGCTTATTGGCTAGGATATATGAGTATAGAAGTGCCTTGATATTCCAATGTACACACAAAAGATTATAATTTTCCAGTGGCATAGTAAGCTAGGGAGCTAAAACTGAAATGAGACATTAATTCATTTGTTTATTCACCTTGTATTCATTTATGTTTTGGCACTATGCTAGTCACTAAACATAGTAAATAAAACAAACTCAATTTCTGGATTCATCACAGTTTTCTAATTTATAATCTTTGCAGTTTTAATAGCAACATGTAGTTTCTCATAAACTCAGAAAAAATTTAAATTATGAGAGAATACAGCCATATGTAAAGTGCTATATGGTGCCAAAAGAAGAAGGAGATGAACAAAGACACAACATAAAGTCTCCCAATGAGACTGTCAATAGCACTATACAGCTAGTTTAAGCGGAGAAATGACATCAGGAGAGGGCAAGCAAGAGAGGTAGAGAAAAATAAAATCATGAAACGGGTTTTGTGTTACAGATAAATTCGAATGTGATTATATATGCAATTTGTTGCTATTGAATACCTTTTTAAAGAGAAAAGATAAACATAATTGCATTTTAGGAAAAAGCAGGAAAATTGAAACAGTTTGGGACAAAAGCAGGTAAAATATTTAACACTAGCAATCATTATGGTAAGTAATAGCAAGAGTCTAGTGCAGAGCAGATAGAGAAAAGGAGATGGGTATGGTAGGCTAAGGAGAAAAAAAATCAGTTGGACTTGCTTTTAGAATGAAGGATAAATAGTTGTCCCGCTTTAGAGGCTGGGAGCACGGTGGAGTCATAACTTCTGCTATGACTTAGTGAGAAATGGAAGGTTTGGGAGAAGAAAAGATAAATTCAATGCTGAAATGTTGTATTTTTAGAGTGTGTGGTTTCATAAACACGTAAGTTTTCAGCTCAAAAGGGCCAGTTAGTTTGTAAATAGTGATTTGGAATTACTTGAGAGAGAGAATAATATAATCCATATGAACAGATTAAAAGGCATATAAACAATAAGTAATCTGAGAAGCAAATTAGTTAAGAGAGAACCAATTTTTAGGCCACAATAGAAGTGGAAGAAGAGACAACAAATTACAAGAACAACAAAGAGAACTAAAACCAATACCTCAGCAGAGATTTGCAGTAAGAAATAAGGAATCAGCCAAGAGTACCCAATAACAAAACTAGACCAAGTAAGATGAAGACTGAAATAACCCATTTTCATAATCAATTCGTTAATTTGTGAAACTCGCTGGACAAATTTTGATGGCGTAAAGAGTAGAAATCAGACAAGTAGGTTGGAGAGAGATTAAGAAGCATAAAAAATGTGCAGATAAATTTTATAATGATTTTTGAGGATTTTGAGTATAATGAAAGAGAGATTGGAGCTAAGGTTGAAGGGAGGTTTTCTTGATGTTATTATTGCATTTATAAAATGGGGAAATTAACGTTGTTTACATATGATGAAAAATAAGTGTCAATGTACTCCAAAATATGTAAAGATTCCAAAATTTATCTAAAATAAGTTAAAGGCTTCCATTTTGTCACTGTATATATATATTTCTAAATTTAGCTGCCAAATACCATACTCAATGCTATGATGTACCAATTAACTCACTCCTATATATGTGTTAATATATACACACATATATGCACACACATATATGTGTGTACATTATGTATGTATGTATGTATACATAGACATGTATGTGTATATCGCTAAGTATTAGTATGATTGGGAGAGAGAGAATAATTGAGGCAGGGGCAGAAGATTGGAGGAAGACAATCAGGATGGGTTTTGTAATGACTATATTTAAGATTAACATGAGATATTCTGCTGAATTATATCTTTGTTTTAACACTTAAAATAATTGCTAGCTAGAAATTTAGAAAAGAGTTCTCCAAAATAATTTTTGAGAAACTGAATAAGAAAAAATAAAAAATAAAGTTAAACATTAATAAATGTTTCTTATACTGACTAAATCCAACCATTTGCAAATATCTTCCTATTTTCCATTTGTCTAAAAGCAGGTTAACTTATTCAGCAATTATTACTAAGTTCTTACTCAATGTCTTGTTCTTAGGTTACAATGATGATGAAATAAGTAGACATGATGCCTGCCCTCACTAAGCATGTATCCTAGTTAGAGAGAAAGAAATAGACAAAACATACAAATAAACTATAACAATTTAGGAGAAGGTTAATAAAAATAATTTGAAGAAAATATGGAGAATAAATAAAGAGAAATATTTATCTAAGAGAAATTTTATTTCTTTTTTAGGTGCTAACACTTAGGCTGAGACCAAATAGAAATGAATGTTCCAATTGACATTGTTGCTGTCTATTAATAATTTTTCATCTTAGTTTGTTTGACTCCTATAGTTGCCCAGAAAAATAATTTTTAAACAAATTTTTCCCTACTTTTTTTTTTAACTTTAGGACATAAACCTTAAATTTGCTTATATAAAAATTAAACAAATTACCAAAATATTCTTAAGCATTTCCCTTTTTTATGAATGTCCTAAAAAGCATAATTATCATTACCTGAGGATTTGTTTAAAATGTAGATTCTTAGGACCTTGGCTAGTCCTAAGAAATCAGAAACTGCATTTTAACAGTATCACTCTATGAATTGTAAGTACATTAATGTATGAGAAGTACTGATTTAGGAAACATGGGAAATCACGATTTGTTTGCTGCCCCTAAGATAAATTAGTATCTTTAGAACAATGGCATCTAAGAAAAATATAATTTGAGAAACAGGTAAATATACATTTTCTAGCAGCCACATTACCAATATTAGAAGTGGTAAATTTTGTTTTAATATTATATTTAACCCACTTAAAAACACATTAGTCTCTAAATATGCAATCAATTATAAACTTATTCATAAAATATTTATTTTTATAGTACTAAGTCTTTTCATTGCAAGGTATATTTTACATTTATAGAACATCTCAAGTAGAATATTAAATTTTCTTGGGCAGTATTAGGCCTGTATTTTATACTGCTTCAGTTTTTAAATTTAAATTATTTAATATTAAAAATTTTAAATGTAATTCTTCAGTTACGCTGGCAACATTTGAAGTGGTCAATAGTTACGTGTTATGGTTGGCTACCTTTCCCATCAGCAGGCTAAATAAAAAAGTCATATGATCATGTCAATAGATGCAGAAAAACTGTTTTACAAAATCCAAAAATATTTATAATTTTAAAAATCTCATCACATTAAGAATACAAAGGAATTTACCCAACTTATAAACAATATGTACAAGAGTCTTACAGCTAACATTATACTTAATTTTGAGAAATTAGAAGCTTCCTATCTTAACTCAAGAGCAAGGTAAAGCCTTCCTCTTTCAGTGTGTCAATTCAACATCATACCGGAAGTCCTAGCTAATCCAAAATGATAAAAAACAGAAAAAGTATATATGGATTGAGAAGGAATAAATACCACTGCCTTTTTTTTTGTAAATGGAATGCTTGTTTATGTAGAATATCCCACAGAAACAATAACAACACAATTCCTACAATAATGAGTAATTATAGCAAGGCTACAGGATAAAAGTTTAATATACAGAAGGCAATTCATTTCCTTTACATCTATTTTGAACAAAAAATGTTGATATTAAAACACACAGCATCATGGACATTAGCATCAAAAATGAAACACCTTGATATAAATCTAGCAAAATATGCACAAGATGTTTATGAGAAAACTACCAATACTCTGATGACAGATATCATAGAAGATCTAAATACATTTAGAGATATTTCACATTTATGGTTAGGAAGACTCAATGCTATTAAGTGGTTTTCCCAAATTGATATATAGAGTCAATCAAACACAGTGAAAAAATCCAAGTAAATTACTTTTGGGTTATTACCAAATAGAAGTACACAAATCAATAACCCTGCTATACACCAACAACGACCAAGCTGAAGCCAAGTGTGGTAGCTCACCGCCTGTAGCCCCAACATTTTGGGAGGCTGAGGCAGTTGGAGTGCTTGAGTCCTGGAACTCAAGACCAGCCTGGGAAACATGGTGAAACTCTTGTCTCTACAAAAAAATAATAAAATAAAATAAAATAAATAAAAAAAAATAAAAAAAATAAAAAACTAGCTAGGTGTGATGGCACACACTTGTAGCCCTAGCTACTCAGGAGGCTGAGATGAGAGAATTGCTTGAGGCTTGGAGGCAGAAGCTGCTGTGAGTCATGATGACACCATTTTACTCCAGCCCGGCTGACAGAGTGAGACCCTGTCTAAAAAAGAAAAAGGAATAAAAGAATAGACAAATTGGCTGGGCACAGTGGTTCACGCCTGTAATCCCAACACTTTGGGAGGCCGAGGAGGGTGGATCATGAGGTCAGGAGTTCAAGTCCAGCCTGGCCAACATAGTGAAACCCCGTCTCTACTAAAAATACAAAAATTAGCCAGGCATGGTGGCAAGTGCCTGTAGTCCCAGCTACTCAGGAGGCTGAGGCAGGAGAATCACTTGAACCTGGAAGGTAGAGTTTGCATTGAGCTGACATCGAGCCACTGCACTCCAGTTTGGGCAACAGAGTGAGGCTTCGTCTCAAAAAAAAAAAAAAGAATAGACAAATTGATCCATTGACAAGAATAGAGAGCTGAGAAAGAGATCTATGCAAATAAGGTCAAGTAAATTTTGAAAAATAACAAGGCAATTCAATGGAGAAAAATATGTTTCTCAATAAATGTTGGAACAACTGGAAATCCAAGAAGGAAAAAAAGTATCTGAATATGCAATATGTAATATATTATCAGTAGGTGTTTATAGAATATGAAAAAAAGTTTATTTAGACGCTGACCTTACCTCTGTCACACAAAATAACCTAAAATATATCATAAAACTAAGTTGTAAAAAATGACACTATAAAATTTCTAAAAGGTAATTTGGAGAACATTTGGTGCTCTTGGGTTTAGTGATGACTTTTTAGATACATCACTGAAAACATGATCCATGAAAGTCAAAATTAATAAGATGTAATTCATTAAAATTCAAAAAATTTTGCTCTATGAAAGGCACTGTTAAGAGGAAAAAAAAGAAGTCGCAAATGAAGAGAGATATTTGCAAAACACACATCTGAAAAAGGACATGCATGCGTAACATATGAAGAATATTTAAAACTCAAGCATCCATTAACAGATAAATGGATAAAGAAAATATACATTATACCTTGAAATACTAGTCAGTCTGAGAAAAGAAGAAAATTCTGTCAAAACATAAAATTTGTGACAACATGGATGAACTTGGAGGATGTTGTGCTCAGTGAGTAAGACAAACACAGAAAGACAAGCAGCAAATGTTCTCACGTATAGGTGAAATCTAAAATAACCAAACTTATAGAAGAAGAGAGTAAAATGATGGGTAGCAGAGGCTAAGGAGTTGGAAGAATGGAAAGATGTTGGTCAAAGGATACAACGTGTCAATTATACAGGAGAAATAAGAGTTTTTTTGAGATATATTGCACAGAAGGGTGAATATAGTTAACAATAATGTATTGTTCATTTCAAAATTGCTGAGCACATTTTGAATGACCTGATCACAAAAAAATAAATATATGAGGTGATGGATGTTTTAATTGGCTTGATTTAGTCATCGCACATTGTATTCATAAATTATAAAATCACTTTGTACCCCATAAATATATACAATTATAATTTGTCAATTTGCAATAAAACAAAATAAAATATATTTTTATAAAACCTCAAGGTAAGAAAATTTAAAAATATGAACAGACATTTTAGCAAAGAAGATACACAGATGGCAAATAGCATATAAGTAGATGCTTAACAATATATGTCATTAGAAAATGGTGAACAAAACAATAAGATTCTACTATACACCTATTAGAATGCCTTAAATCCAAAACATGAACAACAGCAATAGTTAGTAAGGATGGGAGGAAACAGGAAATCTCATTCATTGCTTGTGGGAATGCAAAATGATACAGTCACTTCGGTAGACAGCTTGACAGTTCCTAACAAAACTAAGCATTGTCATACAACAAAATTTAGCAATTGTGCTCCTAGATATTTATCCAAATGAGTTGGAAACATCTATCTATCCAAAAACTTGGACATGAATGCTTATAGTAAACATTTTGTCCATAATACCCCAAAGTTGGAAGCATCCAAATGCCTATTAATAGGTGAATGGATAAATCAACCATGTTACATCTATACAATGGAATATTATTCAGCACTTGCACACAAAAATGAGTTATCAAGCCATGAAAAGACATAGAGAAAACTTTACTGCCTATTAATAATTAAAATAAGGCAGTCTATAAAGGCTACATATTGTGTGATTCCAACTATATGACATTCTAGCATTGGTGGTTCAGTAGTAGAATTCTCGCCTGCCAACTATATGACATTCTGGAAATGGCAAAGCTATAGAGATCAGATTTTCTAGGGGTTCAGGGGGAGGGAGGGAGAGAGGGATAAATAGGAAATTATTTTGTATGATACTGAAAGGTGGATAGGTGACTTTATGCATTTGTCAAACTCCATAATTGATGACATTCTAGTAATGCATGATGTTAATAATGAAGCAAACCATGGGAAGTGGGGGGCACAGGAGGTGGTTTATGGGAAATCTCTGTACTTTCTGCTTAATTCTCTGTAAACCTAATAATGCTGTAAATGTGGTTCATTAATTAAAAAGTATCCTACCACAATTTAGACATAATCACTGTCAGTTGGCTTTCTGAATCTGGATATTGCAAATTAGTATGTTATTCAACTGTAAAGGCTGATTTAAATTTACTGTATAAATGTTAAAATTGTTTCATATCCACTTTCTTCAATAAATAGTTTGCTTCAGCCATTCTATAATAAACACACTTATCAATGACTAATTTAGATATAAGAGAGAAAAAGAAAATTTTATAATTAAAAACCCAGTTCTCTCTGTCCCCATTAAAATAATTATTTGAGGATTATTGGTTTGAATTTTTGTGAACTTTGAGTCTGTCCATGAGTCCATATTCCTAGATCTAATTCACTCTGAATTTTGAGGTATAGATTCTTTTACAACTCAGAAAAACACAAAAATCAACCTGATTTTTCATCTTGCATGACAGAGAATGGATAGAACACTATGACAGAGAATGGATAGAACACTATGATGAGCAGCCTTCATTCCATATGTTATCTTTAAATCTTGCCAATTTCAATGCTGTGAAAAATGCAAATAAAATAAAGTAACTATTTTTTATTCTCGATGATTCTGGAATAAAGGAAAATTACTTTGACATTTGGTAGCCAATAAAAGATGTGTAATAAAAGCTTTAAAGTGAATCTTAAACAATAATATTTGAAAAATAGGCAAAAAGGGAGCACAGAACTCATGGCAGATGCAAAGAGTTTGGTGAAGGCTAACCAAGCCAATTGTTGGAAAATGATGCTGTGGAAAGTTTACAGATTGACCATTCTACAGAATGTTGAATTATTTAGGTTGAGTAAAGTTATATATAAGGAAAACTATTTTAAATTTCTCTTAAAAATGAGAAATTCAAAGAAGGTCATGTTATCCTATGCATGCTGGAGCAAAAATAAAGAGGACATATAAATGAGAAGTGGGAGGTGCAATTACAACATATAAGACACTATCATTTGAGGAGTTGTTAGTTTGGTTGTTTTAGGTGAGGATTAATATGCATTTTTAAAAATAAATTCCATTTGAGATGACTGCAAGAGAACAAAGTAGAAATGCCCAGCAGTTAGTGGATTGCAGGAATCAAAAGAAATGCCAGGTTGCTAATAAAATTTGGAGATTTTTAAAGTGTTATATTTCAGTGTTTTGAAATGCGATCACCAGGTGTTGTACTGGATTAAACAATGGCTAAATGCTGATTGAATGGGAATGAGATGGCGGTTATTTCTCCTACTTGGGTATATAAAATTAAACATGGCTTATGTACCTCTATCAGCTTGATGCAGTATACCTGAAGCCCTGAACGACAAATACTATTGTTCTGAAAAATCTGGTTAGGCTATAGCTTCACAAGGAATGGCACAGTCCCTCTTTTTCTTAAACTCTTAAATCTTACCTACTCATTTAATATGTTTTATTATTTCCCTTGAACATATTAAATATTAATACATAGGGTTTCGTTGAGGGATGTGCTACATAGATAATAAGATATACGAATAAGATTATGATCAGAATTAGGATAGAAAATTAGTTTATATGTATTTCTGATTCAGCCTGTAACAGATTGCTTCAAGTTATTATTAGTCTATAAAAACTTACTATGAAAAAACATTGCTTTTTTCCCCTTAAGTTTGCTTAAAATCTTTTGAGATCCTCTGTAACCTCTCTGAAGAAATACTTCCAAAATCTTAGCACACAATTCTAACTCTAGCTAAGCAGTCTTTCAAGTACATACATCTATAAAATATATTAACGTTTCCAAAACAACTTATTTAATTAAACCAAAAAATTTCTCAATCATGGCATTTTCATTACTTCTTTAGGTTCTTTAAATATACATTTTTTAAAGAGAAGGATTTTTCAATCTGGTCATATCAATTAAGACATCAATTAAGGCACAGATGCAACTAAGAGTCTCAAGGCTTTGTTTTGTTTCTCTGATTTGGCTTCATTTGGCAGCTGCAATTTATACATCAAAAAATCTGTGATGAATATTTGAACCAGTTCAAGTGAGATAAATCCAAAGTGCACTTGCATAGTTATAGCCACTGAATAACTTGGTAATTTTTTCTCTTAAATTGTTGTAAATTGTTATTTGTAAGTATATCCAGAAAATGATGTGTGTGTATACACACACACACACACTATAAATCATATATAATATGTTGTATATTACTTGTATCTATGTGAGGCAAGTTCACATTTCTATCCAGAAATAAACAATACTTTACAGCTCTAATGCTTAATTTACACTTACCTTTGATAGTAAAATGTTTGCACAAGGCAATGTTGAAGTCCAATGTGGTGGCTCGCGTTTGTAATCCAAGCACTTTGGAGGCCAAGAGGGAGGTACTGCTTGAGAACAGGAGTTGGAGATCAGCCTGGGCAACACAGGGAGACACCATCTCTACATTTTTTTTTTAATTAGCCTGCTGTGGGGTGGCACATGCCTGTAGCAGCTACTCTGGAGGCTGAGGTGGGAGATCACTTGAGCCCAGGAGGCAGAGGCTGCAGTGAGCCCTGATTGTAGAACTGCACTCCAGCCTGAGCAACAGAGAGAAACCTGTCAAAAAAAAAGGCAGTATGAGTAAATTTAAATAAGAAATTTCACTCACTATATTCTATATTTTATTATTTCTTATATAACGCAAATATCTTTTCTCAAATATAATCTACTCAATGAAATTTACTTTTATCACCATATTTAAATGCATTCCTCATATCCCCACCCATAAGCTCCATACAATACTTTTTATATAGCTGTTATCTTCAATTATCCTATGTAATTTGTTTGACATAATCTTTTATTTTCTATTCATAGTGTCAGGAGAACAGATTTTTTTTTGTCTATTTTGCTTAAGTCTAAGAGCTTAAAATGTTCTTAACACATAAAACATACACACATATACAAATGTTTGAATGAATGAACAGTTAAACCAAATTTGCTCAGTTTCTCAAATTTTACGACAAATATTGATGCCTATATCAATTCCTGAATATAATAAATGTTATATTCCCTTAAAAACATTTATATCATTTAAGAGTTAAAATAGATCAAATAATTATTACACCTTAATTAATGTGAGAAAATAAATGGTAATACAGCGTTAAATTAATGTTTGTGAAAAAGAAAGAGCATCCTGGGCCAGGCGCGGTGGCTCACGCCTGTAATCCCAGCACTTTGGGAGGCCAAGACAGGCAGATAGTGAGGTCAAAAGATTGAGACCATCCTGGACAACATGGTGAAACCCCATCTCTACTAAAAATACAAAAATTAGCCCGGCATGGTGGTACATGCCTGTAGTCCCAGCTATTCGGGAGGCTAAGGCAGGAGAATCACTTGAACCTGGGAGGCAGAGGTTGAAATGAGCTGAGATTGTGCCACTGCACTCCAGCCTGGGCAACAGAGCAAAACTCCATCTCAAAAAAAAAAAAAAAAAAAAAAAAAAAAAAGAAGCAGCAGCATCCTAATTGTTTGTAGATATAATTGGAAGTGATCTCTCTTGTTAAGGTTGCTGCAACATTTACAAAGAGAAGAAATCAGCCTCACCTGAAGGCTTTCTGTTCTCCCCTTAATTGAAGTTGAGTCTCCTGACTTTGCCTTTGCTGATGGGGCTAAGTAGAAACACCTGTCTACAAGTTTTCTGTTTTGGTAAGTTGAGTCTCCTGACTTTGCCTTTGCTGATGGGGCTAAGTAGAAACACCTGTCTACAAGTTTTCTGTTTTGGTAAGTTGCTCTTTTCCTAGTCCTTAAGCTACGGAGAACAGGCTTCTCTTAGACTATTTTTGCCTGTATCCATTGACATTTCCATGTGTTGGTTTCTTCAGTTTCAAGTCAAGCAAATATGAAATAGTTAGAAAATGTAGAAAACCACCACCCAGTCATTCCTTGGATCCGGAAGTCCCTAGACAATGAAGTCCTTAGCCAGTATGCCATTTTTTCTCTCCAAATTTCAGAGCTTTCAGAGTTTATTTAGTGCTTATTATATTTAGTGTATATTGTAGAACGTGCAGAGTTATCAGTTTTATTTAGCAGGAGGAATATATAGAAAAACATTTTTACCCTATTTTTCTGAAAACTGAGCTAAATTAATTTTTAAAGCCTTGGTTTTCCATTATGAAAAAGGGCATTACAAACTTATCCAGAAAAGCCCCACAATTGAGATTTAAATTTTTATTTTTTGTACTACCATGCTTAAGGAAAAGTTTCCTTTCCAATCAGCGAATATGATTTTTAAAATGTAAATTCTGTTTTTTAAATTAAGACCAGAGTACAAATAATATATGAGAATGAATAAATTAAGGTAAGATATTTCTTTATACCAGAAAAATACTTTAAAATATTAAAATAAAGTTTTCTTGCAAACTTACTCTATATTATCAAAGTATCTAAAATTTTCACTAAATGAAGTGAGCAAAATCCAAGCTAAATTTTTTTCCTTGTGTTTCTCATTTTGTCTATCTTAGCTGTTTTTAATATTTAAAGTGGTAGTAGTAATTATGGCAGTTTTATTCCTATTCAGTACTCTTTAAAAACAATATACTTACATTTTAAACATAATAGATATTTTGAGGTTTTTAATATTTTATGTATGCCCACATAAATTTCTCTATTAAAGCTATCATAACAGAATTGGGCACTATTAAACATTTAGGTAGATGTTCTTAAACTTTATTGCAATTTGTATATATATATATATATATATATATATATATATATATGAGATATGTCAAGGTGTAGGATTTTGGTATTCATCTTGTTTGGTATTTTAAACTTCTGGATCAGTGATTTAATGTCTGTCACTAATTTTGGATAAAACTTAGCTATTATTACTTTAAATATTTTTTTCTGCTCTAACAAATCATTTGTAACAAGTACATTCTAACAAGTACTTTCACTATTTGACTGCTTCTGGTAGACTCTTTGGTTTGCTTTATTGTTATTACTTGTATCTGTAAATCGTAAAAGAGGAGATATTGAGGTCTGCTTTCTTAACCTATGTCTTCTTCTAGTTTGACATAGATACACAGTGATCAATTTTCTTATACTCACCTTCTTGACATCTCAGAGTTTTTGCAACTTAATTTGTTAGTATTTAATTATTCATAACTTATAATTTCAATTTTCAATTGTCTTAGTGCTGAGAACAATTGAGTCTATTTAAAAATTAAATTCCACTGTTTATACTTATCCATAAGCACATGTGTACATTTTCCCAACACCCCCATTTCTGTCTTATTGTTTTGAATATAGTATGAATATCCTCACTTTCTCATCAAATAATATAAACTTTGTCATTTTATTTTTTTCTTATACATTAAATGTGTAGTAAAGACTTCTAAGAGTTGTAAATACAAAATAGATGAAAAACTCATGAGAGTTGCAAATAAATAATATCCTATTGTAAGTGCACTCTTTTTGCTATGTAATTTTTTTCATTAGCTATTTTTGTTTAAATGTTCTGGAAGTTTCTAGAAAATATGTGTGATATGATGTTTTAAACAAAAAAAATGCCACCTCAAAGACATTCATAGCCTAATCCCCTGAAACTGTGCATTATATGACCAAGGGAATTAGAGTTGCTAAACAACTGACCTTGAGATGAAAAAAATTATCTTTCATTATCCAGGTGAGACCAATGTAATCACAGGGGTCCTTATAACTGAAAGAAGGTGACAGAAAAAGGCAAACCAACAAGATGGCAATGTGAGAAAAATATAGCTGTTTAGTATTGGCTATGAAGAAAAAGGAAGGGGTAAAGCATGAAAGTATGAGGAAGCCTTTAAAAGTCAGAAAAGGCAAGAAACAGACACTCCTCCAGAGTCTCTAGAAAAGAGTACATACTCGTTGACATCTTGTATTGATCTGCATTGTGCTGCTATAAAGGAATACCTGAGACCAGGTAAAGAAAAGAGGCTTATTGCATTCATGGTTCTGCGGGTTGTACAAGTATGGCATCAGCATCTGCTCTGCTTCTGGTGAGGCCTCAGAAAGCTTTTACTCCTTATGGAAGATGAAAAGGGTGTATCATATGATGAAAGAGGGAGCAAGAGAGACAGGGGAGAAGCTGCCAGGCTCCTTTAAGCACCCTCTTATGTAAACAAACAGTCAGAACTCACTCATTACTGCAGGGACAGCACCAAGCCATTCATGAGGGAGCTGCCTCCACCACCCAAACACCTCTCACTAGGTCTCATTTCCAAAACTGGGGATGACATTTCAACATGAAATCTGGAGGGGACAAACATCTAAACTATATCACACTTCGATTTTAGCCCAGGGATACCTGTCTTGAATGTCTGACCTCAAGAATTGCAAGATAATCATCTGTGTTGTCTTAAGCCCACTAAAATTGTAATTATTTTTACAGTAGCAATAGAAAACTAACACATATGAGTATTATTTGCATTTTTGCAGTTTATCTTGTTATTTAGACAAGATTTTTATTTATGTATGTTAATATTATCTACATGAAAGCAGAATTTTACATGGCCATTTTAAACTCAAGAAGCATTATGCTCCCATTAATTTTCCCCTTAAATTAATTGGTGATAATTCTATTAATATTGTTAATAATGCAATGCTATTGTAGTTTTATTGATTTCTAGCATACATATGCCTGATTTATAGTTATATATTGCTCTTTTTCTAATTTTTAGCTGGCATTTTGTTTTAGGTATAGCTTTTTAAACATCCCATAGCTGCAATTTTTGTGAAAATTAAGCTCACTGATTTTTTTATGGTAAATATACATGTTTATATTTATTCTTCTTTCTTGACATTTTGTTTTACATATTCTATTTATCATCCTGTTATTTTTTGTATAAATGTGTTCCTTGTTATGTTTGAGTAGTGAATTATATTGTTCAAAGTAAAAATTAAATATCAATTTTCTATAGTCAACATTGATTAGTAATTAAATTTGATATTTTGAAAACACAGTAACAAACATGAAAACAAAAAGCAAGAAAGATTTTCTGCAAATCTATTTTCTGCCCTATTAATCTTCATCTGATAATCAAATTTAAAACATGCAATTAATCTCCTCAACTAGAGTGTAGGCAACTTGAAAGTAAAAATGCAGAAGGAATCATCAGTAGATTACATGTTATTTATGAACTGCTTACTCGGGACAGCAATAAGTAGCAGCACTCCCCAGGTTCAAAAAATTATACAGCAATTTACTTACTTTAAAGATGTATCCCTTGTTATTTTCACATATCTTAATATTTCTTTAGAAAAGCAACACTTTTTCTTCTTTTCTTTCTTTGTTTTAAATGTGACAGAGGCTAGCCTCTGTGTCTGCCAAAATTGCATTAATATCCTCATAAGTTGAGTTTTAGATCGGTGTAATGGAAAATTCATAGCAATTAGACAAAAGTTTATGCCCATTAAATCAAATAATACATTTTAAATGGTGCTTTTGGTATCTATATCATTCGTTTTTTTTTTTTAGAAATTCATTTTTATATTCTTCAACAATGCATATAGTAGAGTGACATCAGGGAGATGTTGGAAGGAAGTTCCAGCCCGTGTTCCCCAACAGAAGTGCCAATTTCACAATGATATATAGAATACAATGCCTTATGAGAAGTCCAAAATCCACTTAAAAGGTTGCAGTACCCCACATGAGCACAAACAAAACAGCTACCAAATAGTAATGTTTAAAAATTGCAATTTAACCTTGAATATATCAGCCTTTTCCTAGCAGACATAGCTCAGTCTTAATACTGAGCTTTTACCCTATGGCGTCTTCCTTGGGGAAAAGATAGTGGAGTAATCTTCCAGTATTCCTCGCCTTTGGGTGCCTTGCTAAAAGAACTGGTTTCTGTCTTGCCTCACCTGGGGTGCTGACAGACCTGGCATAGTCCAAATGCCTGGGACATCTAAGAACAAAATAAAAATAGATGAGAGGTTTCTGCAGCCAGTACGGTTCTGCAAGTTGAGAGGAGGTGCAGAACCTGAGGCTTCTCTCACAAAGGGAAGTGAGTGGAATGGAGCATGACACAAATATATCAGCCTTTTAATGTGCTGCCCAAGGGCCCAGGTTCTGTCTTGCCTCATCCAAAGTGCTGATGAGACTGGCATAGTTTAGTTGAGGCAACTAAAAACAAATAAAAGGGTGAGTAGCTTGCTCTTTGAGAGACCCTGAGTCTCTAGCCATACTAATCAGCAAAGGATTTTGCCTATTAAAGCCAGTCTGTAAAGATTGGGAGACATGGATGTTTTTTCAAATGCACAGACTACAATTCAAGACTAAAGGAAAATGAAGAATCAGAGGAACACAACACAATCAAAGGAAAAAATTAGATCTCCAGTAGTTGACTCTAAAGAAATGGAGATCCGTAAATTTTCTGTTAGAGAAATCAGAGGCTGGGTGTGGTGGTGGTTTATGCCCACTACAAAAGTGTAATCCCATCACTTTGAGGATAGCTTGGAGTCAGGAGTTTGCAACTGCCCTGGGCAACACACAATATCTCATATCTACAAAAATAAAAATAAAAATATTAGCTGGGTATGGTGGTATGTGCCTGTAGTCTCAGCTATGGGGAGTCTAAGGCTGGAAGATCACTTGAGCCCAAGGGTTCAAGGCTGCAGCAAGCTATGATCACACCACTGCACTCCTGCCTGGACAACCTCATCTCAAAAAATCAGTGAGTTACAAAAGAACACAGATACACAACTAAATAAAATCAAGAAAATGTGCCATGAATAAAATGAAAATATCAATAAATAGAAACCATTAAAAAGAACCAACAGATATTCTGGAGCTGAAGTATACAATAACAAAAATGAAAAATTCACAAGGGGGTTCAATAACATCTGTAATCAAGAAGAAGAAAGAATCAGTGAAGTTAATTTCTCTTTTGAAATTATCAAGGCAGACCAGAAAAGAAAAATAATTTTAAAAAGTGAATAAAGACTAAGGGAATTATGGAACACCATCAAGTGAACCAATATATGCCTCATGGAAGTTTAAGGAGTCAAGAAATAGAGAAAGATAGATAGAGAAAAAGAGTTATGTGGTTAGCTTATTTTAAGAAATAATGCCTGAAAATTTCCCAAATCTGAAGGGCAATAGACATCCAGATTCCTGAAACATGAAGACCTCAAATAAGATAAATTTAAAGAAATATACACTGGAACATATTATAATAAAACTATCAAAGTCAAGGCATAAAGGTAGAATTTTGAAAGCACCAAGAGAAAAGTGATGCATTATGTAAGTGGGATATTGAACTGCTGTTGCTACACAAGAACCTATGAAAGCATAAAAGTCAAAGATAATTTATAGGAAGATACAAAATACTATAATACGTTATTGATAGTCTGTGAATCACTATTAATTTTAGTAGAAAACAAAGGTATAAAGCAAAATTGTAGCTACAAAAATGTAAATAGATGCACACTACAAAATATGTAAATTGTGAAATGTAACATAAAAGTTTGAGGGTGGAGAAGTAAAATGTAACTTTTTTATGCAATTGAAGTTAAGTTGTTATTATTATTATTTTTTATTCTCCAATTTAAAACTTTTAATTAAAAAGTAAACTTTAATGTCAAAAATGCAAACTTGGGGAAGACAGAAAAGATCACACACAAGGCTGTCACTTCACACTTGGAAGGTTGCACAGCAGCCAGGCAGAGGCGCTCCTCACTTCCCAGACAGGACAGCGGCCAGGCAGAGCTGGTCCTCACATCCCAGATGGGGGCAGCAGCTGGGCAGAAGCGCTCCTCACTTCCCAGATGGGGTGGCAGCTGGGCAGAGGTGCTCCTCAATTCCCAGACAGGGCAACAGCCAGGCAGAGGCGATCGCTCCTGAGGAACTCCTGTTACAATTATAAGATGTATTATGTAAGCTCATGATAACCACAAAGTAAATGCTTTTATGCACAAAAGAAGGTACTCAAAGTACACGAGAAAGGAATTAAAGCATAACACTAAAAATTTAACGTAATATAAAGACAGACAGAAGAAAAGGAAAACAAGGGAAAAGAACAGACAGAAAACAACAATGTAATAATCTTTCCTATCAATAATTATTTTAAACAAAAAGAAATTAAACTCACCAATGAAAAACATAGATTGGCTGAAAGAATATTTAAAAAAGACCCTACTATATGCCATCTACAAGAGACTTACATATATACCTACATACTGTTTTATAAGAGACTTACGTATACACTTACATACGGTCTATAAGAGGCTTATTTTATATTTAAATGTACACAAAAGCAGAAAGTGAAAGAATAGGGGAAAGACAGTCTCTGCAACAGATAAACAAAAGAGAGAAGAGGTGGATATACTTTTACCAGACAAAATAGACTTCAAGTCAAAAACTATCATGAGTCAAAAAATGTCATTATATAATGATGAAAGAATCAATATATCAGGAAAGCATAACAATTATAAATATATATGCATTCACAATTAGATAACCCAAATGTAAAAAGCAACCATTGATGGGTCTGAGGGGAGAAACAGATAATGTAATAAGAATGAGAGACTTCAATAGATTACTTTTACTAATGGATAGAACAATCAGACATAAATTCAATAAAAAGGTGGGCTTGAACTATACTATGGAACAAATGGACCTAGAAGGCATATACAGAACATTCCATCCAATAGCCAAAGAATACATATTCTCTCTATTATACAAGTACAGGAAATGCACATGACACTATGCAAAATTCTTTCATAATAAAAACTGTCAACAACCTAAAATTAGAACAATAAAGGTCATCTGTAAAAAGACAACAACTAACATTATATTCAATGGTGAAAAATAATTGTTATTATTATTATTTTTAAGATCAGGAACAGGGAAAGAAACCCAATTCTTGATGCTACTATTAAACATAGTACTGGAAGCACTAGCCAGAGCAATTAAGTAAGAAAAATAAGTAACAGGCATCCAAAATGAAAAGGAAGAAGTATCATTATCTCTGCTTATGTAAGACACGATCTTGTGTATAGAGAACCCTAAAGATTTGCCACACACACACACACACACACACACACACACACACTAAGCTGTCTGCACAAATAAACAAATTATATAAAGTGTTAAGATACAAAATCAACAAATACAAATCGGTTTTGTCTACATACATTAATAACTATTTAAAATAAAATGAAGAAAGCAACCCCATTTAAAATAAGATATACACTGAATGTTTCTGTCCTCATTTCTCTAGTTCGTGTGTTGAAACTCTAATTCTCAATGTGATGGTATTAGGAGATGAGATTTTGAGAGGATAGGAGGTCACAAGGGTAAAGCTATATGATGGGATTTGTTATTTTATAAGAAGAGGCAGGAGCCAGCTTATTTCATCTCTCTCATTCTCAGCCATATCAGGACACAGTAAGACAAAGGCCATTTGAAGTCCAGAAGGAAAGTTCTCAGTAGACACCAGATTTGCCAGCACATTGGTATTTGACTCTCCAGACTCCACAACTGTAAGAAATAAACTTTTGTTTTTTAAGTCACCTAGTCACTGATGTTTCTATTATAGCATCTTGAACTAAGACAGAAATTGGTACTAATAAGTTGGGTATTGCTGTAATAAATAACCTAAACATGAGGAAACAACCTTAGAACTTGATAATGTATAGCAACGGAAGAATTTTGAAGCACACGGTAGAAAAATACTAACATTGTCATAAAGGAACTTTATTGGGGATTCTGGTGAGGCCTCAAAAAGAAAATAGGAGAGCAGTAGAAAAAGCTTCTGTTTTCTTAGAAAATGCCTAAATAATCATGTGTGGAATGTTGGTATAATTATGAACATATATGAAAATTCTAATGAGGTCTGACAGAATGAGGAACACATTATTGGACAAAGTAGGAGTGATGGACCTTGTTATAAGGTAACAAAAAGTTGACTGAATTGTGTGTATGCTCTAGGGTTTTGTGGAAGATAAACTTGCATATAATAAAACTGGATATTTAGCTGAGGATATTCTTAAGCAAAATGTTGAAGGAGAAAATTGGTTTATCCTAACTGCTTATAGTAAAATAAGAGAAGAGAGAAATGAATTGAATAAGTAATTTTTAAGCAAAAAGGAAACAGAGTTTAAAGATTTTGAAAAGTATCAGCTTGTCTGTATTGCAAAAAATGAGAAAGAATATTTTGCAGAAAGCATTAGGTGTGTGAGTGAGCAAAAGTTTGATAAGAATAAAAACCATAGACTAAATCAGCCACCCCAGCAGAAACATCATCACTTTGAGCTGAACGGAAAAGAAATGTGATGGAATGCAGGAGGCTATTAGATTTCTTCAATTCTACAAAACAGGATGATAAAACTATTCAGCTGAGAACTTAAGCTATTATTTAAGAAAATGGAAGAATGGCCCTGATTCAGGGATTATAAAATCAACATGTAGGTTTTAACAGCGAAGATAGTCTTCAACAGAGGCCGTGAGGGTAAGACCACTGCAGAGAGCCATGGGTGTACATCACGCTGCTGAGCTGTAAGAAGTATCTTCTCACCCCAGTGGGCCTGGAGAGTAGAGCATTAGGCCAAAGGAAACAATTTTTGTACCTTATGATTTCATGAATTTGTCTTGCTGGATTTTGAACTTGCTTGAGACACATCACTCCTTTCTTCCTTCTTATTTCTCTCTGTTGGAATAGAAATGTCTATCCTATGTCTGTTTCACCATTGTATTTTGAAAACACATAACTTGTTTGCTTTCACAGTTCATAACTAGAATGTATATGTGATATTCACAATCATATCTTGAATATCACATGTACAAGATTTAGATGATATTTAGGTAGAACTTTAGACTTAGACTTTAGATTGAAGCCTGGAATGAGTAAGATTTGGGGGACCTTTGGTATTGATGAATGTATTTGGCATATGAGAAGACATTAAATTTGAGGATTGGGCAGGGGTGGAGTGCTGTGAACTAAATGTTTACATTCCTCCACAATTCATATATTGAAACCTTAATATCCAATCTGATGGAATTTGGAGATGAGGCTGTTGGGATGTAATCATACAATGAGGGTGGAGCCCTGTAATGGGATTTGTTGCCTTATAACAAAAAAAGATAGGAGACAATTGTCTTCCTTTCTCTTATTCTTAGCCATATGAGGCCACAGAAAGAAGAATCTTGCCTGCAAAACAGGAAGATCTTACCAGAAACTGAATCTGCTGGCACTTCGCTATTGAACATGCAAGCACCTAAATTGTGAGTAAATAATGCTTTTTTTTTTTTTTCTTTTTGAGACAGAGTCTTGCTCTATCACCCAAGCTGGAGTGCAGTGGTGCAATCATGGCTCACTGCAGCCTCAACCTCCTGGGCTCTAGTGATCCTCCTACCTCAACTTTTCAATTAACTAGGACTACAAGCACAAACCATCAAGATCAGCTAATTTATTTTTTATTTTTTACTTTTTATTTTTTGAAGAGACTGTCTCACTTTGTTACCCAGGCTGGTCTTGAACTCCTGGCCTCAAACAATCCTCTTGCCTTGGCCTCTCAAAGTGCTAGAATTACTGACATGAGCCACTAAGCCTGGCCTGATGCTTTTTGTCTTGCTTTGATTTGTTTTGTTTTGTTTTAAGGCACCAGTATGTGGTATTTTTGTTAGAGTAGTCCAAACTGACTATGACACAATAGTTTCAAAAGTGATTAAATATTTAGGAATAGACTTAATCAAATGGTGAAAGACTTGTATACTTAGAAATTATGAAAAAATGATGAAAATATGAAGGAAGACATAAATAAATTGAAGACACCTATCTTCATGGATTGGAGGACTTAATGTTGGTAAAATGACCATGCTCTCTGAAGCAATACACAGATTAAAGGAAATCCCTATAAAAACCCCAATGTCATTTTTTACAGAGATAGAAAGAACAGTGTTGAAATTTATATGGAGCCACAAATGTTGCTCAGAAGCCAAAGAAATTTGGGGAAAAGGGAATAAACCTGGAGGCATCACACTTTCTGATTTTAAAATATGTTACACAGCTATAGTAATAAAAACAACGTGGTTCTGGCATATAAAAGGACATACAGACCAATAGAACTGACTAGAGAACCCAGAGATATATGGTCAACTGCTCCTTTACAAGGGTGCCAAAATACACAATGGGTAAGAATAGCCTTTCAGTAAATGATGTTGAAAAATTTAACTATTCACATGTAAAATAATAAAATTGAACCCATATCTATCATATGCAAAAATTAACTAAAAATTGATTAAAGACTTAAATGCAGTACCTGAAACTGTAAAAGTCCTGGAAGAAAATAGAAAATCAGAGCTTCATGACATTGGTCTTGGAAATGATTTCTTGAATATGACACCAAAAGCATGAGCAACATATGCAAAAAATAAACAAGTAAAACTATGTCAAACTAAAATTCTTCTTCAAAGTAAAGAAGACAATCAATAAAGTGAAAAGGCAGCTTTGAAATGGCTTAAAATATCTGATAAAAAGTTAATATATAAAATATAGAAGAAAATACAATTCAATAGCAAAATAATGATAATTATGAATAATTCCAATTTAAAAATGGGAAAAGACTTGAATAGCCATTTCTCCAAAGAAGACATAAAAAAATGGACATGAGGTATATAAAAAGTTTCTCAATATTCTTAGTCATCAGGAAATGCAAATCAAAATCATGATGAAGTATCACCTTACACATGTTAAGATGGCTATTATAAAAACAAACAAAACAGAACCACAAGGACATAAAAGCACTGGCAATAATGCGATGAAATTAGAACCTTTGTACTCCATTGTTGAGAATGTCAAATGGAGCAACCACTACAGAAAAAGTATAGAGTTCCCTCAGAAAACTAAAAATAGAACCACCATATGTTTCAGCAATCCCACATTTGAATTGAAGTCAGAATCTCAAAGACATGTCCGTGTTCCCAGTTTGATTCCAGCATTGGTTACAATATCCAAGATATGGAACAACCTAAGTGTCCATTGACAGATGAATGAATAAAGAAAATATGTTACATGCATGTAATGAAACATTATTCAACTTTAAAATGAAGAAAATTATTCCATATATGACAATGTGGATGAACACAGAGGACAATATGCTAAGTGAAATAAGCCAGTCACAGAAAAATAAATATTGCATGATTTCACTTATATGAGGCATCTAAAATAGACTCATAGAAGCAGTGGGGAGAATGGTGGTTTCCGGGGGCTAGGGAAAAGTGAAAATAGAAAGTTATCATTGAAGGGGTATTAATATTCAAATATACAAGTTAAATAAGCTCTACTGATCTGTACAAATGTTGTGCTGGTAGTTAACAGTACATATTATTTTGTATTTATCTGGAAGCTATTTTCTCTGTGAGCATGTACATTAGTGAGAGGTGGCAGAAGGCATATATGATGTTCTTCTGGTACTGAGATGATGGTAATAGGAACAAAAAGCATAATGAGCATTAGCAGCGGTATAATGTTGGCCTTTGGGAAACATGAATCCACAACATTCACTTGGATTTCTCTCTCCAGCCACAACAGCCATCCTTGAGGCACAGATCTGTATCCAAATTACACTCACTGACTCGTGGAAACTTAGTTTTGTAACCCTAATGCATTGTTATATAGGCTTATAAAGCTAATTTTTTAGCTACAATGAGTCCTTGGAGCTCTCTGACTTTTTTTTGCTCTGCATAGACCATTTGGTATATGAATATGAACATACTAAGAAACTAACACAATAATCCAGGCTCACAGCACCCCCTGGATTATTCCTTTGGACTCATGATGCAGAGCAGAAAATGGCCAAGATTTTAACTGTCTTTCCAAAAATGCTATACTCCAATAAGGAATTCCTTGCATTCTCTTTTGCAGCTAACAACACACTCATTGATTAAAGCCATAATTTTCTGATTAAGGTGAAATAGATCACACTACTTAAGGTGTTCTTGTCATTTATCACGATTTCAATATGTTAAAAATGTAGGGTATTTCTTACATGAAGAAACACAGCAAAGCATACATGGGCTTTTCATTCATTATTCCCTTTGAAATCATTTTTGCTTTTTCTGAAAAAATGATCAGAAGGCCATTCCAAAAAAGAGCTCTTCCTACTTAAAACACTTTGTACATATCAGACTAACCAGATTGTATCTTTCTCATTATTTTTTCTATATGCTCTACTAGCCTCAAGGACAGGGTCTGGATCTTACTTATTCTGTAAAGAGGTCGCCAGATACATTTTACAAATCTGTTGTTTATACAACCTCAAGTGAAATCTTGAAGATAACATCGGTTGAATTACTAATGTCCACGTAAAAAACATTTAAAAGCAGCCTATATGCTTCTAAATTTTAAAATTAGCATACTTTTCTTCTTATACTATGTTAAGTGTTAGAATCCATTTTAATGGACAAAGAAAAGATCCATTTTCTTTTCTGACAGAATCATAGTTTTGAAAATATTGACATCTAATCAAATTATCCAGAAAAACCCCATACTACTCAGCTTCTAACTGCTTAAAGAATGAATTAATCATACAGAAATGCTGTGGAAAAAATGATTTCATAGTGCAAAAAGATAGAATCTTGCCATAGGCATCTATTTATAGAGGCTGCTCTGCATATATCTATAGATGCTGTTTTTTTTTCTGTCTCTGCAAACACATATGAAAACCTTTATAGGGATGAAAAACACACTTTAAAACTACCTGTTACAAAAAAATTGTAAGTTTTATCATGTAACTCTTCCTACACTCACTTTTGACAGTTGACTTTACACACAACAAAAATCCTCTACTTCTGAACAAACATATTTTTAAAAGGATATGAGAAAATGATATTGGAAACAAAATTATATTGAAGCTAATACTTATCTGTGAGTATATTAATCACATGAGAATTAGCATCAGTATAATGTTGGCCTTTGGGCAACATCAGCACTACCCTTTCATTTGGCTTTCTCTCTTTAGTGGAGTGTCAAGCCTATGCTAAAAGTAGGCTAGAAAGTGACGGTCTGAAGATGAGTAAGGCATTTATATGCTACTAGCTACAAATTTACAAAATCTAGTCAGGGAGTCATAAAAATACCCTAGAATTAAAACAATATATGCTAAGTGTAAATTTTACTGCAGTTTCTGTGGATCAGAAATTCCAGAAAAGCTTACTGGGACCATTTTGGCTGAGGGTCTTGTATGGGATTGCAGACAGTGGCTGCAGCTGAAATGCTCAGGGCTGGACAACATCTCTTTCTCTATCTATGTAGCTTCAGGAATTCCCGGTGCTATTTCTACATGGGCTAGTTTATTCTTTCTCACCACATGGTGGCTTTAGGCCAGGAGTCCCTACTTGGCCCTTTTGGGACACCATTCAGTGGGTGTATTGTTGCAACTTGTTCCAGCATCACAAAGATGAAAGTCTAGGTTCCCACTCAATTTTTGCTGAGATGTCCTGGGGTGCAACCACAGTATTGCCTGTGGTCTTGAGATAGACTATAGCAAATTATCATCTAAATGTTTTTGGTCTTGTGAGGCTACCCTATATTTGGTCCTTTGGCTACAGAGAGCAGACTTTATCTGGTGTTTTTTACTCTGTGTCTATTTGTGTTTCCATACTGCCAAACTCTTCAGCTCCAAGTGTTGGATATGTGAGAGAAAAAGAAAATGAGGGAACTTTCCACAGTGCTGGGTTCCGAGATCCCTGGCTAGTCTGCCGCTTTCAAATTTTTCTAATTCAACTTCCTGGAAAAGTAATTCTCTTATTCTCATTTTGAGATTTTAGAAACAAACCAAAAAGACTGGCCAATATGATTCTCTACGAATACTACATTTTCTTTGTTGTTTAAGGCAGATGGAATAAGTCACCGTAACCTTTGGTGTTGTAATTCCTCTGATAATTAGACCCAAACAGGAAATCAATTTGCTGTTAATATATTTATTGAACAAAGAGGAAAAGATACCACTGTTTCAATCTGAACCCAACTTTTCCAGAAATACACAAAATATGTTTCCAGACAAATTAGTATGAGGCTTTCAACAATTTTGGGTAAGTTTAGATAATGTTATTTGCTGAAGGTATGATCACTATTATAGTTCAGCGAAAGAGCCTCCGGGATAATTTTTTCCTTTCAGTTCATAACAAAGCATTTGTCTTAGTCTGCTTTGTGTTGCTATAACAGAATACCACAGACTGGGTAATCTATAAAGAACAGAGATTTATTTCTTACAGTTCTGGAGGCTGGAAAGTTCAAGGTCAAGGTACCCATTCTGGCAGGGGCCTTCTTACTTTGTCATCCAATGGCAGAAATTGGAAAGGCAAAAGAACATGCACTAGAGAGAGCAATAGATCGAACTCACAGCCTCAAGCCCTTTTATCAGCATTAATCCATTCATGAGGCTAGAGCCATATTTACATGCTATAAATATATTAACAGCAAATCAATTCTATTTTGGTCTAATTTTCAGAGAAGTGGCAACACAAATGGTTGTGATAATTTATTCCATTTGCCTTTTACAACAAAGAAAAAGTAGTAACAATAGTAAGGATATAAACCAGTATTTTGGTTTGTTTCTAAAATGTTAAAATATCAGTGACAGAATTACATTTTTAGGAAGATGTATTTGAAAACTTTGAAAAAGGTATACTAAGTAGGGACTTCAGGACCCAATGAACAGTATGGTGGTATATTCCCTGGTTTTCTTCCTCTCTTTCAATTCTAAGACTTAAAGTTGAAGAAGCTGACAATGTGGAAACACAGCTAGACATAGACATAAACACTTCCTATTAGACCCTAATTCTAAACACTTTTGCATTGAGGATTAAGTTTCCAGATGCTTTTTCAGGGATATACTCAAACCATAGCAGCATCACTTTAGGTTACTGGAGTGATACTTCTAGTGTGGGTGTACCTGCTTTAGATCTAAAAAAGCTGTTATAATACATTTAGCTAGAACTCATTTGGATTTGCATTGTCTTCAAGAGGCCCCTAAAATAAAGAACCCCAAATTGATCAAGTTCATATATTTCTTGCATATCCTTGAAAGTCTGAGTTGAGGCTATGTTGCTATACTTAGCCAGTCTTTCTTTAGTGAATACAGTTCAATTAAATAGATTTTCAAACTTGCAAAGATGGTATGCTAATGCTCTTTTTAAAACGACTTTATTGAGGTATAATTCATATACAATGAACTGTACGGTTTTAATGTGTGCAGTGTGAAGAGTCTGGACTTGTGCTAACATCCATGTTGCCATCACCTCAATCAAGGTAAATATGCAGCACCTCACCGAGTTTTCTTGTGTTCCCTTGTTTACTTACTTGCTTGTTTGCTTGTTTTTGTGGCAAGAACACTTAATATGCAATCTACCCTCTTAGCAAATTTTAAAGTGTATAATGCCATGTTGTTAACTATAAGTACAGCTGATCTCTAGAATTTATTCATCTGGCATAACAAACTTTATACCCATAAAACAACAATTTCTATTTCCTCCACTGTCCAGTCCCTGGCAACCACTATTGTATTCTCTGTTTCTATGTATTTAACTATTCTAGACACCGCATGTAAGTGGAATCATGCAGTGTTTGTCCCTCTATGACTGGCTTGTTTCACTTAGTATAATGTCCTCTAAGATTATCCATATTGCTGAAAAAAAGGCATCTTTGTGCTTTTAAACATTTATCACAATTAGACATTTTTTTCCATTCTGCTGTAACATGGCATTTTCTTAAGATCACTGAGACAGAATAAATCTGTTTAGGAAAGAGTTCCAGCTTTGCTGGTATCCCGTTTGCTTCATTTTAAAGAGAACCTGGGATCAAACTCAAATGTATTATTTCCTTGTAGGTACTTGCATTTTCATCCCAAAACTCTACATACAAATCTATAATTTTAGTGCACTAGGCAAAGTCAAAGGCAAAACATTAATAGTATGATATTGGTAAGATAATGAAATTATTAAATAAATTATAATAGTGAGTTCGTATGTAATATTTATTCACCAGATATTGATTAAACATCTTTTCTTTGCAAAGCCCTTATCAACAGATTTTAATATTATGTTCAATTTTATAAACAATATATTATTTTAAATATGAAATATAGTTAAATCTCATACATTTATATAAGTTGTCTTTTTATCAACAGCTAAGCAATAGATTAATATGTTTACACAGTCGTACATGCACGGATATATATGAACATGTAAAAATCAACATTTATGCTTTTACAATAATTATATTTTTATATGTGGAAAATAATGTTATGAGCATTTCAATAAAGCTAACTATGTATGCACAATTTTATTGATTTCATAATGACTCATAAATCAAGTTGCCCAGATCTATCTCTTTTTCAGATTTTTATATTCCAAGTTATCAATGATATTATACATTTGTAATTTATTTGAGTTTCTGTAGTTTTGATTTTGAAAGAAAATGAGAAAGTATTTTAAATGGAAATAAACGATATGCATTTAAGGCATTCAGATTTCATGCATCTTTTATTTGCCAAAAGAAAGACTACAATTCACTGGGATGTGAGAAACCCATCAAAACAAGTTAAGTGCCAAACATATGTGGAACAAAATTGTTCCTTTTAGACTTTCTAAGTAGAGCCACATTTCAGCTACTGTATCTGGGTTTTGCTCCTAGTCAAGGCAGAGAAGTCCCGCAAGGTTTCAGTGCTAAAAACTTGGAGGCACAAATTTCTTCCAAATACGATATATACCACTGACATTTCAGAACATAAGAAACAGAACAGTTTGCAACAAGGCGAAAACTGTATATTCAATAAATACATTAAGCTCTTTCACTATATTTTCTATGATAACTTATTTTTAATTTGTTACCATAAATTAATAATATTAAAATTTTGCTACACTTGCTGCTTAATATACATGTGCCCCAATTTATCTGGTTCTCATTTGGAGAAGTGTAATACTTTCAATTTAAGTTTGCAATATAATACTGAACTTCTCATTTAAAGTGACCCATTAAAAAGTACTAGATAAAAGTGACATGTGATAAAGAGCATGTGACATCTACTATTTTATTTCAATAATTATAAAGTGTTATCTGGTTTTTCGTTTGCTTGTTCTTGTTTTCTGTATGGTACGTATAATTCTAAGAATTTTCCTAGAAGAAAAAATGCAATATAAAAATGTATTTTTTAAGAAGGTGATAGGATTCGACTTTTGCTTTTACATATTTAGTAATTTCTTTAAAAACCACCCATTTAGGCCAGGCGCGGTGGCTCACGCCTGTAATCCCAGCACTTTGGGAGGCCGAGGCGGGCGGATCACAAGGTCAGCAGTTCAAGACCATCCTGGCTAACACGGTGAAACCGCGTCTCTACCTAAAATACAAAAAAATTAGCCGGGTGTGGTGGTGGGCGCCTGTAGTCTCAGCTACTCAGGAGGCTGAGGCAGGAGAATGGTGTGAACCCGGGAGGCAGAGCTTGCAGTGAGCTGAGATCATGCCACTGCACTCCATCCTGGGCAACAGAGCGAGACTCCGTCTCAAAAAAAAAAAAAAAAAAACCCACCAATTTAGTAGAGTTGCTAATCCACTAATTAAAGTCTTCCTTCCCTTTACAATGATGTTAAATTGAATATGAAACTAATTTGAATTTGCTGTAATAATGATTTTAAGACTCTGTAACATTTTCCTTTTCTATATGGCATGCATTTTATTTTTATGGATATATTCCAAGATAACAAAATTAACCTTAATTTGGTTAAATATTGCTTCTGATGCCTTTTAATTTAGAAACAAACACATCATTTAATTTCTATTTATAAATAATCAATTTATGTATTAACCTATTAGTGGTACAATTAAAAAGAACAATGGCCTATATTATTTAGAAATTCCCTAATTAGCGTATTTTCTTCTTAACGATGGTTCTGCATCATTCTATATTCTATATTCTTGTCCTCAGAGCCTGACATTAAGGATGTGTCCCTTTTCTGCGTGTGTCATGTGTTTAATGAGAATGAACACAATTGAATATGTACAGGTAATACCTGTTGACAGGTTTGAAGAAAGAAATTATTGATTTCCTGCAGCATACAGCTATATAAATCACATTAAGTCACTCTAAATAAATACTGTGCACAATGTCAGTCACTGTGTTCAGTATAAAGAGTATAATGGTCACCAAAATTATATACAGTCTCCTAGGACTGACAACATATTATTCAGATAATTCAATACATACGGTAAACTTGTAAGTAATGCTAAGCTCTTTATAAAGCATCATGCTTTACCAGCAAATCAGAGTTGAAATTTGAAGCGTATGTAATATTTGTGGGTAAACAGATAGCATGATTCAGACAGAGAGCACAGAACATACAATGTCCTTGCTGTTAGAATGAAAAAGTGCATTCAAGTTGCTGAAAGTCCTGTCTTACTGAAGCCCACAGAGTGAGGGTGATGGTGAGGTTGGTTTGAAATAATGATGGATGGGGTAGCAGAGATTATATCACAGCCTTTACAATACTCTTTTCTAAACTTGGAGAACAATAATGAAGCAGTTTTAAAACATGTTACAAAAATGTATTTATTTGAAAATAAATAATCATATTGATTAATGAAGAGTAGAGTGGATGTTGAAGGCCCAGTCAAGAGCTACTGCAGTAGTCCAGACAAGTGACCATTCTGAGCGAGAGGAGGCACATTTTTAAAGGAGCTGCAGAAACCGTATGTATGAATCATGGACTAGATTCTGTATATAAGTAGCGAGTGATGAAGAAGAGGAAGGAGAAAAGGATAAATATTATTTTTCTGGCATAGTAACTTTCCTGGTTAGTATTGCATTGAATTGAAAGGCTTCCAATTTTATAAGGTAGGGGTAAATAGAAAAACGTATGTTTGTTCTTGTTACATTGATTTTAGGCATCTTCAACATAGAGTAGAGGTATTTTTCTATTTTTTGTTTGTTTGTTTGTTTGTTTGTTTTGATGTAGTCTCCCTCTGTTCCCCAGGCTGGAGTGCAGTGGCGCCATCTTGCCTCTGGATTCAAGTGATTCTCCCATCTCAGCCTCCTGAGTAACTGGGATTACAGGCACGTGCCTCTACGCCTGGCTAATTTTTGTATTTTTCATAGAGACAAGGTTTCACCATGTTGGCCAGGCTGGTCTCGAACTCCTGATCTCAAGTGATCCACTGCCTCAGCCTCCCAAAGAGTTAGGACTACAGGCATGAGCCACTGCTCCAGGCCAAGAGTAGAGTTTTTAACCAGGTTTTTATTGTATGTAGTCTGAACAGGAGATAGAAGATTAGGAATCTCTGGAAATAAATAGCATTCAATGACATGTTTGTGGATGAGATTCCTTAAAGAGAATGTTCAGTGGAAAGTGGTAAGTGAATACAAATGTAGTCTTGAAAAAGTTAAAAATTTATGAATTGAATAAGGAGAATGAGCCTAAAAAGAAACAAAAGATATCTACAGAAAAAAAAAAAAAAAAAGGAAGAAACCCTGGAGAATGCGGTCCACAGAAAACAGTGTAAGAAAGTACTTCAGGAAGAGTTGAAAACAGGGATGAAAGCTGATGGAAGGTAATAAAAAATAAGAAATTAACAAATTCCATTGAACTTAATCATACGCAGGTTTTTGGTGACACTAGCAAAGCATTTCAATGGGGCATGAATTTGTGGACAATCCTTTTCTAATTGCTCATACCAAGAACATTCACGTCATTTTTCTTTTCATAACTCACACGCAAATCAACAAAAACTTTTGTTTACTTTCCAGATCAATCCGGACTCTAACTAACCTTATTTCTCCACTGCTACTACTCTGGTGCAAGCACCATTATCTCTTATTTCTTTCCAGTTTCCTATTGTAATGTGTCCCAAACTTCCTAATAAGAGTAATCATTTAAAATTATAAATTAGATTACATTGTTTCCTCTCCTCAAGATGTTGAAATGACTTTTTTAAAATTCAAAATAAAAGGAAAATTGTTTACATCTTACAAGGCTCTGCATGAATTGGAGCTTGTTATCTCCTTGACACCTTGTTCTCCTCCTTCCACTCCCATTTCCTGCACTCCAGCCACACTAAACTGTTACTCTTTGCTCAATAACACCCACAGCAGGTTACTTCGGCTCTTAACTCAGGGACCCAGGTTAGTGGAACAGTTCCTTTTGGAACCATAGTGGAATTGATGAAGAGGGAAATGATTGATGACTGATCAAAATGTCACATGGCCAATGATGACATCAAACAGATGGAGACAGAGGCATCTTGGGAGGGAGGGACATATAATGTATTGAAAATAATATAATCTAACCTTAATATCATCTCAGGGTCTTAATATACCAATATTCTCAAGATACCCAATATTCATTTTGGTACTAGACCCCTTAAACATTATTATTATTTTATTTAAATGTTAATGTGTTATATTTCTTCACTTTTAATTCTGGCTAATTATTTTCCTAATTTTTTTTTCTCTTTTACATTTCTAGTTTTTTCTATTTACATTTTTGGTACTTTTTCTCATACTCCGCTGTACTGAAGTGTAATTTGTATTTTTCCATTTAACTCCGCAGCTGTGATTTAATTAAGAAAATCCCATAAATTTATTCCTGTGTTTGCTCTGGAGAGCAAAATATCATTGGATAAAATGATGCAAACTCACAAACTTGAACTCACTAATAAAGTATAGATTTATCAGCCACATTGTCTTTTCCTTTCCTAAGTGGTAGACAGCTGGAGTAGGATTAAATTCCTCTCTGGTGCCAGAAAAACCCATCCCAAAAGAAAAGAAGAGTGGAAGGAGCATTATTTGTTCTCCAAAATAGCTTCTCCTATAGAAAGCATAAGAAGTAGAAAAAAAATTCCTGAAACCATGATATATATTAATTGTTAATTTAGTGCAGTAGTTCATGTTTGAAAATTTAATTATTGAACACGTAGGAGTGAAGGATACGTTTTATAAAAACTGAAAAACAAAAGGTATAATTGATTTTACATGAATGAGGACTACCTCTGTGAACCAGAAATAGAACAAAAATACAAACGTTGAGCTGGGTTGAAATCTTAGCTCTCAGTTTTCCAAGTCCATAATAGCCAGTGTGAGTGGGATTGTGGTTCCTGAGGTGTAAATGAAATTAATCCAAATTTTAAAACACAACAGAACATGTTTTATTGATCCGAGGAAGTTATTTTTAAGATAGACATCTGAAAGGATTCATGAAAGATTAGAAATGAAGGATAGAATTTGTTTACATTTTAAAGACATGGCTTTGGATTTTGGGGAAAGGGAAGAAGGAGATAAGAGCACAGTATGGTTTTCCAGGACTGAGTTATAGACCCACTGAATTTATAATGAGATCTGACACAGCCTCAATGTCACTTCTGGCAAATAATGCTGAAAGAAGATTTCAAACCTGGTGCTCTTGTGTGAGCCCAGAATGAGTGGCAGAAATACAAATTATTAGATGGTGAGAGTTTTACACAGAGAGAAAGAGAAAAACAGGAAACAAACAGCCCCATCCCCCTACCTCTCAAAGAAAAAGCTTCCCATCAAAATGAACTTGTAAACCAAAATGACAAAGCTCATGAAGAAATTCAATGCTAAAATATAGCCAATATAATCAACAATAAGAAAAGTAATTTCTGATCTTTTTAGAGGAAATTATATAAATAAATCTGAACAATAATTTTAAATAAATATGCTAATCATTTTTATATTCCTGTCTTCTTTTCTAAGCTGTTATTTCTATTTACTTTTCAGAATACCTGAATAATTTCAAATTTTATTATTTTCAGGTTTAATAGCTGCATTTGGTGGGTGAGAGAAAGATAGCTGTGTTTACTCCATTTTACTTGAAACCAGAACCCTGGTAGTATTCTCGTAAGTTAATATACAAGTAGGATTGACAAATACGGTTTCAGGTCATCGAGATGTATGCAAAGAAGAGGAATAAAGAAGAAAGGGCATTATATTAGGCATTGTTGCAATTCAACATGTATTTGTTTAGTTTTTAAAACCCATGGAGTGCTTCTTAGAATGTAGATTACCAGGACAAAAATCTGAATTACAAAATCTGAATCTCTGAGAAATGGGCGTCAGAATTTCCATTTCATAGATGATGCTTATATTTCTTGAAGTTTGTGGACCGGAGAATTAATTTGGAAATAAGAAGGATTCTAATCCAAATTCAAACTCTAACCCATTTGCCCAGCCTTTCATAAATAACATAATTTCTCTGGTTTTACATGTGAAATTAAATTCAATAAAAATATTTGTTACTGTCGATATGGTTTGGCTCTATGGTCTCACCAAAATCTCATGTTGCATTGTAATCCTCAGTGTTGGGGGAGGGGCCTGGTGGGAAGTGATTGGATCATGGAGGTGGTTTCTAAGGGTTTAGAAACATCTCCCTAAGTGTTGTCTCATGATAGAGTTCTCATGAGATCTGGTTGTTTAAAAGTGCATAGCACCACCCCCTTCATTCTCTTCCTCCTGCTCCAGCCATGTAAGACATGCCTCCTTCCTCTTGGCCTCCCACCATGATTTTATTTCCTGAGGCCTCTCTAGCTGTGCTTCCTGTACATCCTGCAGAATCTTGAGCTAATTAAGCTTCTTTTTTTAAATAAATTACCCAGTCTCAGATATGTCTTCATAGCAGTGCCACAATGGACTAATACAGAAAAATGGTACCAGGAGTGGAATATTGCTATGTCATTACAAAATGGGTCTTTTAAACAAATTGACAGTATTTTTTGCTTATAGTTCATTAAGTGTAAACCTAAGCATGTTGCATATAAATATAACAAGCCATTATATAGCCATCAATATTGTAAAACTCATGGCAAATTTCTTTATGTAAACACTAAAGTAGCAATGTGTAATCTGTGGAACCTAAATAGAATTTTCTCTAGGAAATTCTTAACACATGTATAATAAGTGTAATGTTATCATATTTTTATCTATATATGAGAAATAATTACAGGGCATTATTAACATTATGGACATGTAGAATATATTTGAAAATATAATATGGCCAGTATTTAAATCCAGATAAATTTGCTATTAGTATAAATTAGAATGAATCCAACAAGCATTTAAAATTAAGTATAATAATTTTATAGTCAAATGATAATAGACAAATATTTTCAAATATTTATCAACATGGTATTACTATCATTCAATTATAATTATATAAGGTCAGTGAGGCCGATAGCTATTTTCAATTTAGTCTGACATTTTTTTCAATACTGAGAATTATTTTGAGACATTTAGTGGCAGGGTGTAAATAAAGCAGGACTAAAAAAAACACAGTAAACACGTCATATTTAAGTAGGTCAATGAGGCTGATAGCTATTTTCAATTTAGTTTGAAATTATTTTTTTCAATACTGAGAATTATTTTGAGACTATTTAGTGGCAGGGTGTAAATAAAGCAGGACTTAAAAACACAGTAAACACGTTGTCATATTTAAGTAGGTCAATGGGGCTGACGGCTTTTTTCAATTTAGTTTAACATTATTTTTTTCAATACTGAGAATTATTTTGAAACTATTTAGTGGCAGCGTGTAAATAAAGCAGGACTAAAAACACAGTAAACACATTGTCATATTTAAGTATTAAAGATAGGTTATAAACTCTTTTTCTTGAAGCATCTATAGAAAAATAAAAAAGAACAATCATAGATAACATGAGACTATTCTCCAGTCAAGTAAAGGATTCCACCTCATTTTTTTCATCTTTAAATTAATTAAATGAGTTATGATCCTTTCAAATATGGATGGTCAAGTTTCTCTAAATAATAAATATGAAGCTGAAAAGCCCATAATACCAAATTATTAATTTAAGAATGATTTATTGGCCGGGCGCGGTGGCTCACGCCTGTAATCCCAGCACTTTGGGAGGCCGAGGCGGGCGGATCACGAGGTCAGGAGATCGAGACCATCCCGGCTAAAACGGTGAAACCCCGTCTCTACTAAAAAATACAAAAAATTAGCCGGGCGTAGTGGCGGGCGCCTGTGGTCCCAGCTACTTGGGAGGCTGAGGCAGGAGAATGGCGTGAACCCGGGAGGCGGAGCTTGCAGTGAGCCGAGATCCCGCCACTGCACTCCAGCCTGGGCGACAGAGCAAGACTCCGTCTCAAAAAAAAAAAAAAAAAAAAAAGAATGATTTATTAAGCTATTTTGCCAATGTAAGAGAAATATTGAACTTAAGCAGCAAGATATTTGAAGTTGACGAATTTTACAATATTTTAACATCAGACTATATTACTCTTCTTGATATATACAATTGTAAGTGCTGTAAAATAAAAATCTTGTGCCAACAAATCTCTATCTGTGTCAAAGCAATTTAAATCTTAGAAATTGTATTCCAACTTGAATATTGTTTTTATTACAATAATAACTAACACTGTTCTTAGGCCTTGAAGCATAGACAGATATATATTCAAAAATATCATATATTAAATTAGACCAATATGTATTCAAGAGCAAAAGAATTTTCCAAGGATCTTGAGGCCATGCAAATCCAACAATAAAGCTATATGTAAGTACATATATTTTACTGACATATCTTTAAATTGGATGGGAAATCTGTTGTTGATATTGCAAATGCAGAACAATTTACTGTCTGAGAAAACTATTTTGGCTTTATTTTATTTTTCCTTTGTGTCAGACTACAAAAGTGTAAACAGTGGCTTGCTATTATGAGATTTACCAGGAAACATATTGACACTATAACCAATACATGTGAATGACTTATTTGTAAATATTTTAAACTATAGCAAGCTAATTAGCATTTTTCTTTTTCACTTTGATTATAGTTAGTCTTGGGACAGCAAAGAGATTTGAGGAAAATTCCTCAATAATTTTTTGTTTGATTTCAGTTGCTAAAAACATGCTTGTTGTCTAGTACCTTTTTTTTCATAAAATAGATATTTAATCCATTGTCAAAGGATTGAATAGGTATTTTATCCTCATTATCCCTTTTTAATCAGATCCTTTGTCTTTGACAGTAAAGATTTTTTAAATTATGTGGTGTGAACCTTGAAAATTTGAGACAGGTTTCAGTTAATTTAGAAAGTTTATTTTGCCAAGGTTGAAGACACGCACCGTGACACAGCCTCAGGAGGTCCTGATGACATGTGCCCAAGGTGGTCAGAGCACAGTTTGGCTCTACCCATTTTAGGGAGACATGAGACATCAATCAACATGTGTAAGATGAACATTGCTTCCTTTTGGAAAGTGGGACGACTGGAAGTGGGAGGGAGCTTCCAGGTCCTAGGTGGATAAAAGACAAATGGTTGCATGCATTTAGGTTTCTGATTAGCCTCTTCAAAGGAGGCTCTCAGATATGGGTTTATCTCAGTGAGCAGAGGGGTGTCTTTGAGTAGAATGAAAGGCAGGTTTGCCCTAAGCAGTTCCCAGCTTGACTTTTCCCTTTAGCTTAGTAATTTTGGTGGCCCAAGATATTTTCCTTTCATAGTAGAAAGAAATTCATTTTCTTTAAGCAATAGTATGGTAAATGGACAAATTGTTTTGTAATAGACTTTAAAGTTAAGATTCACCTAACACTGAGGAAAACCTTTTATTCTGAAGATTCAAATTATTCTCCAAGTGCCAAGAGATATGATATATTCCTTTTTATAGTGTATTCTCAGCAATATAATACAAACGTTAAACATGGATTGCTTTCCCTCTGGAGAAACACACACATGCGCATGAGCGCGCGCGCGCGCACACACACACACACACACACACACACACACACACACACACAGGCGAGGGCAAATGCAAATTAAAAATAAGCAGCATAATTCTGCCTGTTGAAAATAAAGGAAAAAACTTTCCCCCCTCGTTATTTCACAGCAATTACTTGAAAAAACTTGTCATTGTAAATTATTTCACTGTTTCTTCGAAATGCATGTAAATTTTTTTTAAAGCTGAATAAGGCTCTTGTCAGCTTTATGACCCAGGAATGTCTTTCTCAAGGGCCTGAGAACTATCTCCTTGAATGTTTCCATTAAGGAAGATAGCACTGTATCTCCCAGTTTCTATTAACTAACTAGAGCCTAACTTCTTGCTCTAAAACTACCTCCTATCACACAGATATGGGAAATTTATTTCTTCTCTGGATAAAGTGAATTAGCTAACACAGATGGTCACCTCAATTACAAAGAGAATTTAGGATGAACTGTGTGTGAGAAATAGTGCTGTCACATCCTCTTACTTGAGGGCAAGTTATTGTTTATCTTGGAGAACATGTATGTGTTGGGTTGTATCTGCTTGGCTCTATAAAAGTTTGAGACATCTTTTTGTCCTTGCAAGTGTCTTAGCAATTGTCTGTGATTCGCATCACATTGTGGTTTAATGCTTATTTGAAAATAAAATAGTGTTTCTATCTCTTTTACTTTTGTGGTTTGGAATGAGATTTTGTTTTTAATTATAGTGTCTAAACAATTCACATACAAGTACACACACTTGCATATATATATATAATATACACACACACATATATATGAAGGAGATTTTGTTTTTAATTACATTGTCTAAACAATTCACATACAAATACACACACTTGCATGTATGTGTACATACACACATACCACCACAACAATGCTTATCTCTTTTTATAGGCTTGAGCATCTAGGGAAGTCATAAACTGATATATTTGTTGATCATCAATATTTTAAAATTCATTTACTGCAAGGTTGATATATGCTTCTTATTTTGGATATAGAAATGAAAGTTATCTCTTTCCTCGAGACACTTGATTCTGGTGGATAGAAGTTAGAAATAAAAAATTCAGGAGTGTAAGGGAAAATTTTGTTGTCTCTTCTTTCCAGTACGTAAATTTCTTTCTGGGAAGTCAGAAACTTGTCATTGGTAAATGATCCTGAATCCACACATCTAACTGGACTAAGGGTGTACTTTAATTCTTTGTTGTTTTCAGACATTTATTCTACCACTTCATGAAGCTGACTGAGCACATTCTTCTTATACTCCCTGAGATATGTGCGTCTCCAAAACACTTCCCTTTCTGCTTGAGCCAGTGAGTGCATCATCTTTTCTTACGATAAAGTGATTTCTGCATAAATTGAATAAAGTATGTCTACTATAAGTAAGATCTAAAATGTAAAGTGGGACAGTAGAATGAGAATTAGAATCAGATGTGATATATCTGGAGGATGTAAGCTGTTGGGGGATAGGTGTAGGAGATACAAGGTGAGGGAGAATTCAGGAAGAGCAAACCTTATATGTCCTTTATTAAAGCAATTACATTAGAGGAAATTTAATGGAGTAGGACCAAAGATTTTTGTTTGTTGTTAAATACATAGATTCATTATGTACATATTCTTACATCACTTTGGATTTTTACTTGGATATTTGCCTCAGTTAACATTACCTTTTAATCCTCAACTCCAAAGATTTTTTAAATGATTATTTTACTACCATTATGCCTTTCTCCAAAAATACTCTTTGTACCACTAACTTTCTGCATCATTTAAAAAATTTTTTTAAAACTTTTTCCTTGCAACAGTCTTCTCTGGAAAAAACATTTTTTTCATTCTATAAAACATTAGTGAGACTTTCTCAGATGTGAACTGCTTCACAGAGGTTTCAGCTCTCCACATTAATGGAGGAACCCAAGTGGGTTACAACAGTCATCCATTATTATTAATTTGCTTATTGATGCTATTGAATTTGCCTACATTTTATGGTAAAGTTAGTGCCTAAGAACTTTAAAAGGAAAGAATAGGCCTCCCTAGCCTTCATGTTTACATATCCTTGGTAGATTTGTAATTCTAGTATCTCCCTTCCGCTTAAGCATAGGACATCCATTTCTTTGAGCTTCCACTTTCTCATAAGCAATTGAAAAGAAACTTTCCTCATCTGAGTACTCTGTTATTTCAGATGTGAAACTATAAATTTTACTTTTTAGGATTTCATGTTATCTGACATGACAGAATAACAAAGTCAAAGCTATACCTTTTTAATATTGTCCTTAGAAAGTTCATACTTTGGAGCTTTTGTCATTAAATATTCAAAAGTAACCATACATAAAATTACAAAAGCACCGAAGCCTAGATTGTGCTTTTCACAATACAGTCACTCAATACGAACTAGCAAGAATATTAAACAAAAGGTTCAGGATTTAATAACCATCTTGTTTATGTTTCACTAACAATGAAGAAGATATTTCACTTTTGGAGCAAATATTTTTGTTGTCTAAAGACAATATTTTGACTTTGTAAGCAACTTTTATTGAGACTTACTAACATAATGTAAGTATAAAAAAAGAATATCATGGTTTGCAATAATGTTAACATGTCTAAGAAATAGTCTTCTCCAATTTACCTATTTATAATAAGGAAGCCAACATTTATATGAAACAATATTATAAATAGGCAAAATTTATATTTAAGCAGTTTTTAGAAATTGTATCATTTTATCACTGACCTTTTTACAAATAAATGTAAAATTATACAATCATTAGAATTTCAACTGGAGGAGCATGTTGTCTAGTATTAAGGCTCAAACTTTTTTTTACTGGTATGTAATTTCAAATATATTGGACTTAAACGACTTGATTCATGTTGTATAGCTAGTAAGCAACAGAGTCAACATTAAAATTATGATTTTAAATTCATGTCACAACTCTGTAATGGCTTTATATATCTAGTATAGTTTTTAATTATATTTAAAGTGACAAATTTTAAACTGTGCTGTATATAATGTAGCAACAAGCATAATGACATATTTTATTTTAAAAAAAGTCACCTGTAGAATTATAGTACCTGGATACATAGTCCACATATTTGGGCTGTGTGATTTTAGGCATTGATCCTTTAAGTTTTAATTTTCCTATCAGCAATTTTTTCTAATAACTCTATTGCTCTCAAAATGCTTGTTGTAAGAAAAGAGAAAATGCTTATTAAGTGAACATGATGTCTAATAAATATTTGTAATTGTTTTTAATTAATAAAAGTAAAAATGAAGAAGCATATCAATATTCTCTTATTTCAATATCTTCCCGATTTTTCATTATTGTTTAAAAAGATTTTTGTACTCCTGGCACTATTTCCAATAAAGTGATAGATTCTATAACCAAGGTTATTATATAATCAAGAGAGTTAACATTTTACTATGGAGGGCACTTGGAAAATATTGACTCCCTTCTCACAGATGAGACAAAAGCAGGGATTCTAGGCATGTACTTGGATGCATGGTTAGAAACAGCTTGAGCCTGATACTAAGGACAGGTGGAATAGGATGGACAGCTGATATGAAGAGGAACAAAAGAGAAACATGATATGAAGAAACAACTTGGAGGAAAGGATAATCTAACTTTACTGTCAAAGAAAAGGGCTTAAATAAAATGGAGATGTCAGGTACAAGGAAAACAGCAACCCCACTGAGGCTTGATGATCACTTCCAAAGAGATGATTCCCATTAAATATGAGAATAAAAATAATGGTTCTAATATTTATTAATTACAACTAAAACTTCCAGCTGTTTCTTTCCCTTTGGTATTGTATCTGTCTTACATGATCTGCTTATACATCACTATGTCATTTGCTCTCTTGTGTTAAGTTAAAATTATGAGACCTATACATTTGGAAAAGAGAGTCTTATTTCCTAAGAAGGATTGCAGTTTTCCCGCCAGACATCCTAACAGGCTGGGAACCGTAGCCTCTGTTAGAAGCCTAAAGCAGGCACTTCAAGGGAGAGAAAGATGGAACAGAATTTTATACCAAGCAGATTGGCTAGTTATACATATTTAATAGGCTATGGGAGGAGCTATGAATATTCATGAAGTGGTGGAGGCACACATGTGTAGTAAGCAAACATGCATGCTACATATGTCCCATTTTCAGTTTGGGGTGGAGACTTAATATTTGCATGTACTCCAATTAGGCCCTATACATCAAAAGGTGAAGCAGAGGATACAAATGCACTCAGTGCACAATCTTGATACCTGCCAGAACCACTCCATGGTCAGTGCTCTTTTATCTGGAGAAAGCTACTGAAGTCAGTCTCTTGTCCAATCGAAGGTGTCTTTATGGCTTGTGGGATGGGATGGGTTGCGTGGGGTGAGTTAGTCAGTGTCTGGTGGAAAGTGAGCCACAATTGTTGCAATATTGTTTATCTCAAGACCCATGCTTGCTCAGCTGCTAGAGAAACTGAGAAACCTTGTGGCAGTTAGAACATAGTTTGTTCTTTAAGTGCCAGGGGTGCATGATTTAATCCTTCACTGACATGGCTGTAGGTCTTGTTTATAATTTCATATCTTATTGCCACAAAAAGTTCTTTTTGTCAGTCTTATGATCCCTATTTTAATGCTTTTGGCAATAAGTTATAGCTGGAAGCTGAGATGCTACAGGGCAGAGAAAAGGCTAAAAACCAACAGCAATGAGAAAGAAGCAAGACATTGAAAATTATATCTTGATTGAGGCCCTTTGAGGGTTGAAGATCACTTAGAGGAATAAGACATAGTGAGAGAAATACTCAACATAAATGGTAGCTATGACCAACTCCAGTTCAGATTCTAATTTGACACTGAAGTTAATGATGCCCAAACACAGTGGAAAAGACAGCTATATGTTCAGGACTTGGGAAGGCAACAGATTAAATAAAAATCGCTAGCACGCTTTTAACATCAGATGATTAAATTAATAATTACATGTGTAAAATGGAAAATCAAATCATCTTAGAAATTTTAATGTACATAGATGTAAATGGAAATGTAGGAAATGTAGAACAATGTGCTCTATTCAAGGTAGTGAGAGTTTCATAAATATTATTAGCTTAAAAACACAATGTGGCTTGAATGGCTTTAAAGATAGAGGGAGTTTGAAAATGTGAGTGTTGTGTTTCTTCTGTGCAAACTGGAACTTTCATAAATGATCTTTTCTTATTTTTCAGGCTTGTCAAAGTTTTCAAGCAGTTGCTAGAAATGGTAAAATAAAAAATTCATATGGACAAGAAAATATACACTTTTTATGTCACTATGAAAATACATGTGTACTATATTTTGAGAAAGTATGTTTGAGGTAATTTTTGTGTTAATACATTTAAAACAAAAACTGTATTTGGAAATAAAATTCAGTTCTATTCATAAAATTTTAAGGGGCTGTATTTCACAGTTTAGGAAAATGTGTCTACTTGATCCTTTTAATTTGGTGGTGGTAAAATAATTATTGCTGTAGTAACACAAAGACATAATATTTGTACTGATACTAAATGTAAATATTGAAAAATATTAAAGAGTTACCATTTTAATTCTGTAATATTTACAATTATATTCCTTTGGGGTTCTCTGTCTCAGTCTTTCTCTCAATCTCTCTCTCTCTCTCTGAAAATATTCTGGAAATTTTTTGTGGTAGTAGGGTATTAGCTGATATCTTATTGGGATAAACATGAATGTTACACTGTAGCTATGATCTGTTTTTTTATATAAAAATTACCCCAAACTGAGTAGCTTAAAACAACACACATTTTGCATCTTACGGTTCTGTGGGGCAGAATTCTGACACAGGTCTCACTGCTTTAATCCAGTATGTCAGCACAGCTGCATTCCTCTCTGAGGATTTAGGAGCGAATTTGTTTCCCTGCCTTTTTCAGCTTCTAAGAGGCTGCCCTTATACCTTAGCTTGTGTTCCTCTTCTTCCATCTTCCAAGACAGCAACATCTCATATCTCTGATTTTTCTTCCTTCATCACATTTCTTTCTAGCCCAGCCATGAACAACTCTTCTAAGTACTCATGAGATTACATTTCACCCACCCAGATAAAACAGGGCAATTATCCCATCTCAAAGTCCATACCCTTAATCACATCTACCCAGTCCCTTTTCCACGCAAGGTAACACTTTTGCAGGCTTTGGAGATCAGGTCACAAGTACCTCTGAGGGGCATTATTCTGCCTACCATAATCCTGTAATTTTTTTTCAGCTAATCTATTAGATAATTAGTAATATCTCAACTGTAGTTTTTAAAATGTATTTCCTGAAGGGTTAATGCTGTTGAATGTATTTTCATGTGCTTATTTCACATCTGTATATTTTCTGTGGTAAAATTGCTGTTCACATTCTTTGCTTATTTTCTGTTTGAATTGTTCATTTCTATTCAGTTGAGATTTGAGAGTTCTTTACATATTTTGGGTTTATCTTTGTCAAGTATTCGGATTGCAGATGTTTTCTTCTAGTCAGTAGCCTGTCATTTTATTCTACTAATGGACAATTCACAGTGCTATTTTAAAACATTTTTGAATAGGTCATAATTTTGTTTTGGTTTGTGCATATGGTGTCATGTGTAAGATGTCTTTGCTTATTCATAGATCCTGAAGGTATTATCCTATGTGTTCTTCTAAAAGTTTTATTTTTCTATATTTTCCAATTAAATTTATAATTCACTTTTCAAGTAAATTTGCATAGTGTTGAGTTTAAGACAAAGTTTCTTTTTTTTTTTTCCATGTTTAATCTATGGGTATCCAATTGTTCTAGCATCATTTACTGGAAAGATTATCCTTCCTCCATTGTATTGCTTTGGCTCATTTTTCAAAAATTAGTCGGGCAAATTTGTGCAGCTCTATTTTCAGGTTCTCCGTTCCAGTTATCTATGTGTCTATCCATCTGCCAGTGATACACTATGATAAACTATACGCTACCCATCTACCAGTTACTACACCTATACATTAAACCTTAAGACTGAGGAAGATAAATTTTTTCTACTTTCTTTTTCTTTTTCAATTTATTTGGTTGATATTGTTTTTCAGTTCTTCTATCATCTTAGTTGATAAATTGTTGATGATATTAATAAAGGGGTATTGAAGTCCCCAAGAGTAATTGTTGATTTCCCCTTTTGTTAGTCCTTTTTTCTTTTTTTTAGACAGAGTCTCACTCTGTCACCGAGGCTGGAGTGCAGTTGCACTGTGTCGGCTCACTGCAACCTCCGTCTCCTGGGTTCAAGCAGTTCTCCTGCCTCAGCTTCCCGAGTAGCTGGGATTACAGGTGCCCACCACCATGCCAGGCTAGTTTTTTTTAATACTATTACTAGAGACGGGGTTTCACTATGTTGACCAGGCTGGTGTTGAACTCCTGACTTCAGGTGATCCACCTGCCTTGGCCTCCCAAAGTGCGGGGATTACAGGCGTGAGCCACCACGCCCGGCCTTTGTTAGTGCTTTTTACATTTTGAAGCTACCTCTTTTTCCTTATTCATCATGTTATTATGTAATGTCCTGCTCTGCTTCTTATACTTTTATTTGTTTTGTGGTCTGCTTTATGTGACGTTAATTTAGCCACTCCTACTTTTAAAAATATAATGTTTATATACTATATATTTTTTCATCTTTTTACTTCAATCTTCCTATACTACTATATTTCAAGTGAGCTGCAATTAAGGACAACATAAAGTTGGGTCATAGTTTTGGTTTGTTTTCCTTTATGAATTCTGCCAGTCTCACTCTTTTGAATGATACATTCTGACTATTTACATAAAGTAATTATTGATATGTTTAGGCTTAAGATGGATAATATTTGTTTTTGCTTCCACATGTATTTCGTTTCTATTTTTTCTTGCCTTTCTGTAGGCTGCTTCAACATGTTTAGATATACCTTTTAATGTGTCTACAGTGCTTTTTAGTACATCTTTGCATTTTTAAAAATTTCTTAATTTTTGTGGGTACATAGCATGTATTTATATTTCTGAGATATAAGAGATATTTCAATACAGGCATGCAATGCATAAAAATCACATCATGGAAGGCCGGGCATGTTGACTCAAGCCTGTAATCCCACCCAGCACTTCGGGAGTCTGAGGCAGGCAGATCACGAGGTCAGGAGATCGAGACCATCCTGGCTAACACGGTGAAACCCCGTCTCTATTAAAAATACAAAAAATTACCCGGGCGTGGTGGCGGGCGCCTTTAGTCCCAGCTACTCGTGAGGCTGAGGCAGGAGAATGGCGTGAAATCAGGAGGCAGAGCTTACAGTGAGCCGAGATTGTGCCTCTGAACTCCAGCCTGGGCAACAGAGCGAGACTCCGCCTCAAAAAAAAAAAAAAAAATCACATCATGGAAAGTGAGGGTTTCCATCCCCTCAAGCATTTATCCTTTGAGTTATAAACAATCTATTATACTCTTTTAGTTGTTTTATTTATTTATTTATTTATTTATTAGACAGGGTGTCACTCTGTCCCTCAGGCTGGAGTGGAGTGGTGCAATCTTAAGTCACTGCAACCTCTGCCTCCTGGGTTCAAGCAATTCTCCCAACTCAGCTTCCTGAGTAGCTGGGACTACAGGTGTCTGCCACCACATCCCACTAATTTTTGTATTCTTTGGTAGAGATAGGGTTTCACCATGTTGGCCAGGCTGGTCTCGAACTCCTGACCTCAAGTGATCTGCCCGCCTTGTCCTCCCAAAGTGCTAGGATTACAGGCATGAGCCACCATGCCTAGCCTAGTTGTTTTAATATGTACAATTACATTATTATCGACTATAGTCTCCATGTTGTGCTATCAAATACAAGGTCTAGTTCATTCTTTCTATTTTTATAATACCCATTAAACAGCCCCACACCTCCACTATCCCCCACTATCATTCCCAGCCTCTGGTAACCATTTTTCTACTTTCTATTGTGGTCAATTGTTTTGATTTTTCCATCTCACAAATAAGTGAGACTATGTGATGTTTGTCTTTCTGTGCCTGGCTTATTTCACTTGACATAATGATCTCCAGTTCCATCCATGTTGTTACAAATGACAGGATATCATTCTTTTTTACAGCTGAGTAGTATTCCATTATGTATATGTACCACATTTTCTTTCTTTATTCATCCATTGATGGACACTTCGGTTGCTTCCAAATCTTAGCGATTGTGAATAGTGCTGCAATAAACATGGGAGTATAGATATCTCTTTGATACTCTGATTTACCTTCTTTTGGGTATATACTCAGCAGTAGAATTGCTGAATCATATGGTAGCTTCATTTTTAGTTCTTCAAGGAACTGCTAAACTGTTCTCCCTAGTGACTATACTAATTTACACTCCCACCAGCAGTGTACAAGGACTCCCTTTTCTCCGCCCCAGCATGTGTCATTGCCTGTCTTTTGGAAAACAACAACAACAACAAAACATTTTAAATGCGGTGAGATAATATCTCATTGTAGTTTTGATTTGCATTTCCCTGATGATCCATGATGCTGAGCAACTTTTTATATGCCTATTTGCCATATGTGTCTTCTTTTGAGAAATGTCTATTCAAATCTCTTGCTTAATTATTGATCATATTATTAGATATTTTCCTATAGAGTCGTATGAGCTCCTTTTATATTTTGGTTATTAATCTCTTGTCAGATGAGTAGTTTGCAAATGTTTTCTCCTATTCTGTGGGTTGTCTCTCTACTTTGCTGATTGTTTCCATTGCTGTGCAGAATCTTTTTAACTTGATGTGACCCCACTTATCCATTTTTGTTTTGATTGCCTGTGCTTGCAGGGTATTGCTCAAGAAATTTTTGTCCAAGCGAATGTCCTGGAGAGTTCCTCCAGTGTTTTCTTCTAGTGGTTTCATGGTTTGAGGTCTTCGATGTAAGTCTTTAACCAATTTTCATTTGATTTTTGTATGTGATGCGAGATAGGGGTCTAGTTTCATTCCTCTGCATTTGGATACCCAGTTTTTCCAGAATCATTTATAGAAGAGACTGTCTTTTCCCTAGTGTATGTTGTTGGCACCTTTGTCAAAAATGAGTTCACTATAGGTGTGTGGATTTGTTTATGGGTTGTCTATTCTGTTTTATTGGTCTATGTGTCCATTTTAATGCCAGTACCATGCTGCTTTGGTTACTGTAGCTCTGCAGTATAATTTGAGGTCAGGTAATGTGATTCCTCCAGTTTTGTTCTTTTTTCTTAGGATAGGCTATTCTGGGTCTTTTGTGGTTCCATATATATTTTAAGACTACATTTTCTCTTTTTGTGAATAATGTCAATTTATATTTTGATAGGGATTGCATTGAATCGGTAGATTGCTTTGAGTGATATGCACATTTTAACAATCTTGAGTCTTCAACTCATGAACATAAAATATCTTTCCATTTTGTGTGTGTGTGTCCTCTTCAATTTTTTAATGTTTTATAATTTCCATTGTAAAGATATTCCACTTATTTAGTTACTTTATAGATATTTAATTTTATTTGTGGCTATTATAAATGGGATTACTTTCTTATTTCTTTTTCAGATTATTCACTATTGACATATAGAAATGGTAGCAATTTTTGCATACTGATTGTATATCCTAAAAATTTACCAAATTTGTTTATCAGTTCTAATAGTTTTTTGGTGACTTTTTAGGTTTTTCCAAAAATAAGATCATGTCATCTGCAAACAAGGATAATTTCACTTCTTGCTTTCAAATTTGGTTGCCCTTTATTTCTTTCTCTTGCCTAATTACCCTAGCTAGGACTTCAAGTACTATATTGAATAACAGTGAAAGTGGGCATTCTTTTTGTGTTCCAGATCTTAGATGGAAGGGTTTTTGCATTTTTAAAATTTCTTTTCTGGGTTCTCTAGTTATTAAAATATATAAATATAGCTTACCACATTCTAAACATAAATTTTTAAAAATACATTGTGTTTTTAAGAATTTTCTCCACTAACATTGAGAACATATTAGATTAATCTGCACTTTTACCTCCCTCACCAATTGTAATTTTAAAACTTATAATAAGGATAGTGTACACTTGTATTTATATTTTAACCAATTCACTTATTCTTTGCACTTCCTAAAATACCATAGCATTTTGTTCCAGTTTCATTTTTATTTGTAAAACATCTTTTAGCTATTCTTTAAGGGTAAGTCTGCTAGTGCCAAAGATCTTAGTTTTAATAAATTGAGAATGTCCTTATTTTCCCTTCCATGTTGATGTTGATGGGTATGTGTTTGTGTGTGTGTGTGTGTTTGTATCGATATGTATGCCCCTCTACTTATGATGGGGTTACATTCCAATAAACTTACTGTAATTGAAACTGTATTTAATACACTCAACCTACTTAACATCATAGTTTAGCCTACCCTAACTTACATGAGCTAAGAATACATTAATCTATAGTTTGCCAAATTATCTAACACAAAGTCTATTTTATAATTAACTGTTGAATATTTCATGTACCATATTGAATGCTGTACTGAAAGTAAAAAACAGAATGGTTGTTTGGGTACTCAAAGTATGATTTCTACTGAATCTGTACTGCTTTCACATTATTGTAAAGTCAAAAATTTGCAAGTCTAATCATCCTAAGATGAGCACCATCTGTATATATAACATAAAATTTTGGGTTGGCAGTTCTTTTTTTGTTTTTTTTTTTTTTGAACTTGAAAACAGTATATGTCACTTTCTTTTGGCCTGCATGCTTTCAGATGAGAAATTTTATCAAACGAATCATTCCTCTTTCATATGTAATGCATCTTTTCTCTCCTAATGAGATCACTTTTTTTTTTCTTTCTTCCCCCCCCCCTTTTTTTTCCCCAATATTCACCCCTTTTGTTAGGATGTGTCTCTGTGTGGATGCCTTTGAATTTGTCCTGTTTGGGTTTGCTCTCTTTCTTGTCTGCTCATGCTTTTCACAAAATTTGTAAATTTTTAGCTATTAACTTGTTGAAAAATTTTTAAGCTCTTTACTTTTTCTCTTTTTCTCCTAAAACTCTGAAGACATAAATAATAGGTATTTCTTATTATCTTATAAAATCATGAGATTATATTTTTCTTTCTATTTTCTCTTTCTTGTTCAGGTTGAGTAATTTTTATTGATCTGCTTTTGTTCCTTGAGTATTTACTAAGTTGTTTCGAATATACTATTGAGTCTGTACAATGAGTTTTTAATTTTCTTTATTTTATTTTTAGTTCTATGATTTTATTTGTTTTTTATATCTACTATTTTTTATTGAATGTTTAAAGGTTTTTATTTATTTCAAAAATGCATGTAATTGCTTGCTAAAGCATAAATAGTGCATCTCATTTGAAATAGCCATTCTGAATATCATAGTCATTTGAAATCTAAATGCTCCACATATCAATTGATTAAAATATATGCTTTTAAAATGTATTTTTATTTGCTCTTTGGGTATTACTACTCATGTCGTGGGATAGAAATTATAGCTTCCTATATAGCATTCTTGGACATAATTATGTTGTAAAGCTTTACATTTATAAATAGAAAAATTCTAGTGTACAAGTTTAAGAAATCACTCAAAATTGGTAAAATAAGAAAAGTAAATAGGTGTGTTTCTCCTCTACTGAGAAACTTCTTTCCTTTTGTGTATACCATTATATAATTGCATGTTCAAATTTTTTGGAGGTCTTATTAATAACTGTAGGAAATATGTTGTTAATGCTTATATAATAAGTAAAATGTGTTTTAGGCACAAGCCTCACAGTGATGCAAAAATTTAAATTGGCTTAACATTTTATGATTTTTTAATGTAACAGTAATAAACCATTTTCTAATGCATTTGCTTAGGATTTGTCTTCAAATATATATTTTACAAATTAACATGTTGATAATACATGGACAACTTTGTACATTTTAAAGAAATTTATCTACTCATGAAATTCTTATACATTTTCTCTTTAATAAATAATTATATTATCTTACATGGAAGTATTTGCTTTTAACTTTTACTTATAGTGAATAGGAGAACAATTGTAATGACCTTGTCCAAATAAAATATTATTCCTGTTGACTCTTTAAAATCATTTTCCTCTTTTTCGTGATTCAAATAGTATTTATGTTTACATTTTATGCAAAAAAGGAGGTGCATCTTTTCATGTAAGTGTAAAAATTCCTAAATATTTACAGATTAAGACTTTTTCTCAATAAGTAACTTTGCAAGTATTATTTTTCCCATTTCATTGTGACTGTCAGGCAGTTGGCTAGATATGAAAGTAAAAAATAAATAATGCAGAAAAAAGGTCAGGTGTTAATTTGGTTGAGTTTCATTCATTAGCAGCGGCTAGCTTCCAGCTACAAGTAACCATTAAACTTAAATTAAAGAGGACAAATCTGGCAAGTATTTTGCCTTTAGCACGTAAGGTTCAAAATAAAGTGGCCATTAGTTCACTGCTGATGACAAGATATTTCACTACAGCTACTAGGCATGCTAAAGCTTTTGCAAATGTTTGAATGTATTTTATTGCTACTTTGAGATGAAATACTTACATTGTTAAGTAGATCATAGCATATGTTCTATTATTAGTTCCAACTCAATGTATTTGGATGTTATGATTACAAATTTTTCTAAGTATGTCTGCAAATATATGTTTATAGCATAATTATAAGACCACACCCTCTTCAATATTTTTTCGATTTAAAAAATATTCATATATGTAAAATAATTATAGTAAGAATACTTTTAGAAGTTTTAAAGCCCTAGTAACAAATAGATTTTTACAGTGCTAATGTTTCTTTTTTCTCTCCAACTGGCTTTGAAGTTATATCTTTCATAAACTTCTTACTATACTGGAATTTTATTTTACCAGATAGACAAATTCACTGTTTTCCCCCTGACTTCCCTTAGTACGGTTGCATCACTCACACTTACTTATCTCTGAGTTTCTCTCAGCCTCTGTTTCTTTCTTTGCCTTTCTTGCTCTATATTAAAATAAACAAATTATATTTCTAGATATTTAGGGATAAATTTACCCTAATCTTAAAGTAAATTAATTTTTAGGATGCATTGCAATTTTCAGCAAGGATTTCTGTATGACTTTGCATTCATAAAGTAAATGACATTTGCTATTAAATAGAACTAATCTGTAAAATACACATCAAAATTTGCATGATAATACTCACGAGTAAATGCTCTCAAATAAGAAGTCTTGCTAGTCTCTCAGTTTTAGTACATTTCATAATACTTTTACAAATACATTTTCTAAGGCTATAGCTGATATAGATTGTTATTCCTCTGATGGATCCGAGCAAAGTAAATTGAATACCTTTGGAAAAAATTAATCATTCTAAAAGATTCAGAAGGCAGAGAAATCCTAGGCAGACCCAGGTAGATCCTCAGTGAAACCCCACTTTCAAGCCAAAAGCAGCCTGAAACCCACAGCTCAGAGTGAGAACTTCTATTCTGTTTGGCTTCTCTTTCCTTATTGGGTCTTTCTGAATAATGCCTTTTAACCAATCAAATGTTGCCTTTTCCAATACTACTTACAGCCCCCCTTTTCCCCATCCTGATCCTATAAAAACCCCAGACTCAGCCACACTGACAGAAACTATCTGACTTCAGGGAGAGACAATCTGACATTGGGGAGAGACAGTCTGACTTCAGGGAAGACGACCTGACCTTCCCATCTCCTCTTCAACTCGCTCTCTGCTGAGAGCTGTTTTTGTTGCTCAGTAAAATTCTCCACTCTCATCATCCTTCAATCGTCAGTTTGACCTCATTCTTCCTGGATACTGGGCAAGACCTTGGGACCCATCAAGTGGAGGTAGCGAGAAAGGTTCTAACAGTGGCCCTTTGTCCTCACCAGCGTAGGGCAGCCACTCCACATGATGGGGCAAGAGACCGACTCAGCTGCGAACACCCTGTCATCTGTTAGGCTGTGGACAGTGTAACTAAAGGAGCTAATTAGCACACTAACACCCTCTCTGGGCACCACTGCCTTCTCCTCAGGGTGACATGCCTGGCCTGGCCACAGGCACCACACGTAGCTTGCTCCTGTGTTGGCACTCAGGGTGGCCAGACAAACCCCACACTCGCTAACTCATGTGCTCCCTTCTGCAAAGGGCTGAGCGCAGCAGGCCAAGTGTACAGGGTGCCCCCTGCTGCAAGTCAAGCAAAGGGGCTGAGAAAAATCCTATGTCAGTTCTAGATGCCATTAAGAACATATGTGATTCATGGGTGAAAGTCAAAATAACGTGAACGATTTGAAAGAAGTTGATTCCAAACCTCAGGAGTGACTTTCAGTAGTTCAAGACTTAGTGGAAAAAGTAACTTCAAATGTGATGGAAATAGCAAGAGAACTAGAACTAGAAGAGAACCCTGAAGATGTGTCTGAACTACTGTAATCCCCTGATTAAACTCAACGGATGAGGAGTTGTTTTCATAGATGAGCAAAGAAAATTTCTTGAGATGGAAACTACTTGTTGTGAAGATTCTATGAACATCTTAAAAATGACAACAAAGTATTTGGAATACTACAGAAACTTGATTGTTAAAGCAATGGCTAGGTTTGAAGCAAAATGTATTGCTTTCCTATTTTAAAAATTTACCAGAGCCAGCCTAAACTTCAACAATTATCAGTATAATCAGTAAGCAGCCATTAACATAGAGGCAAGACCCTCCACCAACAAAAGGATTACCACTCACTGATGGCTCAGATCAGTATGACATTTTTTAGCAATAAAATATTTTTAATAAAGGTATGTATGTTGTTTTTTAAGACATAATGTTACTGTACAATTAATATGGTATAGTATAAAAATAATATTTATTTTTGTTGGGAAACCAAGAAATGTGTGCAACTCAGTTTTGTGATATTTGCTTTATTGCAGCAATCTGGATCTCAACTTTGATACTTCTGTATCCCCATATAGCCTAAAATTTAAAGTCACCACTAAAGAGAAAAACAGTTATAACAAATTAATAAGAAAAAGAACATAAAGCTATAGGCCAGGTGCGGTGGCTCACACCTGTAATCCTAGCACTTTGGGAGGTCAAGGCAGGCAGATCACTTGCGTTCAGGAGTTTGAGACCAGCCTGGGCAACATAGCAAAACCTGGTCTCTATGAAAAATACAAAAAATCAACCGGTCGTGGTGGTGCACACCTATGGTCCCACCTGTTCAGAGGCTGAGGTGGGAGGATTCCTTGAGCCTGAGAAGTGGAGGCTGCAGTAAGCCGAGATCGCATCCTGCACTCCAACCTGGGTGACAGAGTCAGACCCTATCTTAAAAAAAAAAAAAAAAAAAAAAAAAAAAAGAATGAAAAAACTCTACAAAGCTATATATTAGATTTACATAATTTAATGACAACAAAAAATAAAATTGAACAAAACCAAGATAATACAGATAGAAAAAAATAACAAGATCATAATTTTAAACCTAACCATGTCATCAATAACACAAAAATATGTGTTGCCAATGTCCAAGTTAAAAATTAGAGATGATCGGATTAGATGAAAAAATTAGACACAACTGTATTATCCCTACAAAAAATCACTTCACATATAAAGACACAAATAGGTTCAAAGAAATAAATGGAAAGAAATATCTCATCTGCAACTAATTTTTAAAAAGCAGAAATTGATAGCATAAATATAAATGGACAATATATCATGACCACTTAGAATTTATTCTAGGAATGCAAAGTGGGTTTAAAATTAAAAAAATCAAAATATTTACACATAAAAAACATTTAAAAAATCATACAATTGCTTTAACAAATGAGAAAATCATGTGATAGAATATAACATCTCTTCGTTTTTTCTTTTTAACTTTTTAGGTTTTGGGGTACGTGTGAAGGTTTGTTACATAAGTAAACACATGCCACGGGGGTTTTTTGTTCATATTATTTTTATCACCCAAGTATTAAGCCCAGTATTCAGTAGCTATCTTTTCTGCTCCTCTGCCTCCTCCTGCCCTCCTCCTCAAGTAGACCTTAGGGTCTGTTGTTTCCTTCTTTGTGTTCATAAGTTCTTATTATTCAGCTCCCACTTATAATTGAGAAAATGCGGTATTTGGTTTTCTATTCCTGCATCTAACACCTTTTCTTGCTAAAAAAAGAAAAAAGAAAACAAAAATCTAAGTAATGTAGCAACAGAAGGTAACTGTCTAAATTCAGTAGAGGACATTGAAGGAAACCCTGAAGCTTACATTATACATCATTACAAAGTGAATGACCAAACTCTTTTCCCCAAAGGTTATGGAAAGACAAGACAGACCATCCGCGTGCCTCATTACATCTATTTAATATTTTACGTAGCCAAATGAAGAATAACAGTTAACAGGAAAAGTAAAATACTTTTTATTAAAAAATAGCATGTTTGTCAACAAAAAAGAAAACCGAATGAAATTTTTTAAAAAACTAATAGAACTAATGTTTCTAGCATGTTTGCAGTATACAAGATAAATTTTGTTTATGTACAGAAATGTCAACTAGATATTAAAAATTAAAAAGTAAAAATTATAAACAACAAAAGTATAACCTATGTAGTGGCAAATGTAACAAATGATGTGTACTGTATGTACACCAGAACCAATGGAGAGATATGTCATGCTCATATCTTGGAAATCTCAAAATTTTTAATGCCAGTTCTTCCCAAATTGATCTAAATATTTTATATAATCCCAATAAAAATTACAGAACTCTTTTATGTAAAAATAAATTTATTCTAATCATTTTTATGGAAATTCAGAAAAATAAAATAGTCGTAAAACTTTGTAAAAAAAGAAAAAAGGGCTATTTTTTAATAAAGATTAATACTAACTCTACATTAGTCAGGACCCTGAGGTATTAGCATAAAGACAGAAGTAAATGGATGGAACAGAGTAAAAATTACAGAAATAGAATATTTAGAGACTTTTTTTTTTTTTTTTTGAGACGGAGTCTGGCTCTATCGCCCAGGCTGGAGTGCAGTGGCGCGATCTCGGCTCACTGCAAGCTCCGCCTCCCAGGTTCACGCCATTCTCCTAGCTCAGCCTCTCGAGTAGCTGGGACTACAGGCGCCAACCACCACGCCAGGCTAAGTTTTTGTATTTTTAGTAGAGACGGGGTTTCACCGTGTTAGCCAGGATGGTCTCGATTTCCTGACCTCGTGATCCACCTGCCTCGGCCTCCTAAAGTGCTGGGATTATAGGTGTGAGCCACTGTGCCCGGCCAGAGACATGATTTTTGACAAAGATAAGATGGCAATATGGTAAATAAAGGATAATAATGTAAATGCATGGTGCCAGGAAAATCAAGTATCAATACAACAAATTTGCAAAAATTCTGAATAAAATAGATCACATAAAACCTAGTAGTTTAACACTTTTAGAAGAAAACACAGATGAGAAGAATACTATTGCTGCACTGGATTATGTGAAGATTTCTAAGATGCAACTCCAAAGTCTATAAAAAAGATGATAATTAAATTTCATCAAAGTTTATATATCAAATAAAAGCTTATATAACAAAAAAGTTTCTGCTCTTCAGAAGATATAGTTAAGTGAATGAAGAAACAATTTCATGGACACATACGTGTTAAAACTTATCAAAGTTTTGACATTTTACATATGAATGTAAGTCAAATGACAATAAAGCTAATCAACAAGTCATATAGAAAAAGGTATTATTAAAAATGAAATTAAAAGTTTAACAATCCAGAAACCTCAGAAAAAAAGTTACAACTAGTAAATAATTCCAAAAAGTGCTGTCTTAGAAAACAAACAAGTTCAACTATGTAAAACATACTATATTAGATACTATTATTAAGTGGGAACAGGGGAAGCTCAGAGTAACAAGCAAGTATGAAGAAAGAAAGATAAGAATAAAATGCAGCATTTTGCTTCATTTTTGCAAACAAATTTGAGAACTTTAAAAAATGCCTTTCTTGAAAAATATACATAAACAAATTTAATCATTTGAATATATGAAATAAATTGTACATCACGGATCAAATAGAAAATTGAAATTTACCCTTATTGTCATAATTCAAAATAAAATTGAATAAAAATTCAAATTGTGGTGTCAATTATCCTGCTTATGTATAAATATACATTGTTGCCTTAAAAATATTGGCAAGATTTTTTTTAGAAGAAACATGTAAACTGACATTACTACCCTAATGTATAAGAAACAGGCAATTCTAGTCACAATTTAAAAAATATGATAAAGAGCTACTTGTAGCAGAAATTAGAAAAAATAAAATAGGTGAAAGATTAATAATAATTTTTGGTGTAGGAGGAGATGTGGATTTTAAGTGGAGCAAAATTCCTGTTAAGAAATACTGATCTATACTTATCAACATTTAATGTTCACATTGTTAATTATGAACATTTCAAGAATTTACCCTATATTTAGACATAAACACAATCGTGTAGTTATGCATGCAGATAGATAAATTGATAGGCATACAGATGACATTATCATTTCAGTAGTCTTCTTAAGAGCAAAGATTGTACAAAAACTAAATTTCTACCAAAAATAAAAGAGTTTAAAATATATATAGCAAAATAAAAGAACCAACATGCAGCTTTTCATATATTAAAAAAATTCATAAGTTACAGTAATTATATTACATTAACATATTTTAATCAGATGATTTAAATTATAATTTCTTCAGTTGTCATTGGAGATATATACCCATTAGAAATATATAAAATTAGGTGGATATAATTTTAAGTGAAAATTAAAATGCAGAAAAGTTTTATCGTAGGCAGTTATGAATCTATACCTAGATTTCTCTTAAATGATATACAGCATGAGTTCTAACAGTTCTCTGGGGTGCTGAATTATATGACTGTGGGACTGAGATAGACAAATTTATCATTTAAAAAATTTTGAGATTATGAAGTATTTCAAACTCAGAGAAGAGTATATGTAACATATATGTGCCTAAAATTATTTTTAAAAATTACACATACCCACATTTATAAAAAAAATAAACACTTTTATAGTCTTCTCTATAACTCTCCAAAATTACATCTTTCTGCATTCCACCTAAATGGAGTTACTTACCTGGAATTTGTATTTATTACACCTTTGCTTTGCTTTATAGTTTTATCACATGTATGAGTCTCTAAACAGTATACTGCACAATATCATACATTTTTAGAAAATTGAATGAAAACATATAATATATATTCATTAGAGAATTGCTTTGCCATCTCAACACTGTAGCCTAATTAACGTCATTTTTTGCAACTATATTTTGTCTAATTACACTTTAGTTTTCTTTTAGGATGTTTGCTACTGCAGTTTTTGTTATGGTTGCTTTAGTTATTTTTTTTCTGCCTCACCCATTATCTTTATGCTCCTGTAATTCGTTATACAAAGAATATCACAAGCAATGTATAGCCAGTCAATAACTTATGTTATTTTTTTTCCATAAGTTATTGGGGTACAGGTGGTATTTGGTTACATGAGTAAGTACTTCAATGGTGATTCATGAAATTTTGGTGCACCCATCACCTGAGCAGTATACATAGCACCATATTTGTAGTCTTTTATCCCTCACCCCCTCCCACTCTTCCCCCTAAGTCCCCAAAGTCCGTTGTATCATTCTTATGCCTTTCCATCCTCATAGTTTAGCTCCCACGTATCAGTTAGAACATATGATGTTTGGTTTTCCATTCCTGATTTACGAACATCATTATACATGTCTTTGAGGAACATGTTAAGGAAGTATATTTTTAGTAGTGCTTCTGACTGTAAGGTACAAGCCAACTGACATCTACTAGAGAACTGAACAGTTTTCTTAATGCAGTTGTATTGGTGTATACTCCATTTCTAATTTATGAAGCAGAATTTTGTAAACAATCTCAACAAAAGTTCTAATTAATAATTTTTTTAAATCTTGCCAACATGGTGACTCTAAAGTTATATATTGAGTAATTTTCATTTCTATTTTTCTGGTTATTCAAAGGTTGAGCACATTTTCATATGTATGGCAGTCACATATGTTATCTTTTAAATTGGTTTACTTTTTATTGATTTCTTGATCACTGCTTGAAGATTAAATTATAAATATCTCTCAAGTTTTTGATTTACCTTTTGATTTCATGGTATATTTTTATTTATAAGCCAAAGTTCTCAGTTTTAATGAGTTCAATTTTAACAATATTTTCCATATGATTTTTGTCCTTTGTATCACAATGGAATTGTAATCTAGAATGGCATATCCAGAAAATACAAGGCCAAAAAAGAGCCATTTATTCTTAATAAAATCTCATTATCATTCACTAGTGACAGAACTTCATTAAAGAGTTTTTAAAGATCTACTTCAGAAATAAGGCCGATAGGTCTGTAAAAACAGTGCACCAAGAGCCTATGGACCACCTAGATAAGGCAAATTATTAGTGAGTTTTCAAAATTCTGACAACAATCCATATATAGTATATTCTGTTGGAAAATATGATAAATCTGGATATGCAAATTGAGAGGTAGACCATCTTAATTAAAACGTTTTCAGTTTATTTTGTTGTTCAGAAAGAGAACAAAGATTATGACATATTTTATACTTTCCTATTTTAAACAGGAAAGTTAACTGTTCAGTGTAATCACTGAAGTACAGAAACATTCCAAATTTGTAGAATAAAAATAATAATAATTAGAAAAACTTCCCTGCCCAAAGAAGAAAACACAGAAGGAGGTAAATATGCACTGTAATTAGGGCAAATATGTAACGCAAAGGTAGATAGAATAGGTAAATCTAAGTACCTATATACATGCAAAGGTCATTATTTGAATTTCATAAATTAAAATTCAATCTTTCAGGAACTCTTTATTGATCATTAAGCTCTGAGAAAGAAGTCATTGGATCCAATTCAGTGGCAAGTCATTAAATAATTCTGATAATAATAATAATAAACCAGCATCACAGTGTTCAGTGACTACTTCACATCCTCAACAGAGCTATCAAGGACTGAATGAATATTAAAACTGAATAACACAGTAACTCCTAGAATTGGCCCCTTAGGTTTATGGTTGACTGAGCTTTAAATTGCCTACATTCTATTGACTATTTAATTCTCTCAGTCAATTGATAAATAAAATACTTTAGTCATCAGAGCTGTTAATCCACTTTCATGACACTTGCTTTTCGCCAAACATTAGATTAGCTCTTTTTGTTTTTTGAATTTAAGATTCAGTTCAAGCCAAATTGAGTTTATGTTATTACAAATTGTCAGGCATGACTTCACCTGGGAAATGTGAGGATTTTTGTGGAATAAACAGCACTTTCTAAAATCAACAAAGAACAATATGATTTGTGTCAGCATAGTGAAATGGTTATATACTTCCTGTGGAATATAATCGTATCAAAACAAAATACTTGAAAGATACTATTTTATAACTATCAATGATTAGTTGAATTTATTCTGACTGGGCCACATCTTTCTAGTAACCACAAATCAGTGTATCTATGTCATATTTATATTTAATATAAATTATTTAATTGTTGTAATATATGTAAGTGGGTTTTTTGGTTTCTATGTTTTCCCTATTTCCCTCCCCCACAGTAATTTAACAAGAGTCTATAAATCAAAATGAAAAATAGACATATTTTAATTTTTTATGCTGTTTGTTTGTGATTTTTTATATAATAAGCTATAAACCATACAAATTTAAGAAATAGAGAATATACAGAAAAAAAATTACACATAATCACAGCATCCCAATAACACATAACCCCAGTTCCAGACAGCCCTTCCTGATGGCCTGCTGTATGGATTTTGGATTTGTTTTGCCATCTACCACAATCACATAAAACAATTATTTGCAATAAATCTCTAAATACATATCTCCTACAGGTTCTGTTTCTCTTGTAGAATCCTGAGACATCAATTACACCTCTTTATAATGGTTTCTCTAGAGAATACAATGTAGTAATGGCAGCAGCAGCCCATTTTGGAGTGGGCTGCCATGATGCCGGCTGCAATGGGGAAGTCACAGCCAGGGCTGCCCACTCCATGGAGGCAGGTTAGAGGAAGACCCAGGAACAGACAGAAGCCCCGCCCCCTTCCAAGCCACGCCCTTCCAGGCACAGCTGCAGCTGCCCAGCCACAGGGGTATCTCTGCACTCTCAGGCCCAGGAAGCACTCTGTCCCCATAGGCTCAGAGTTGCCTGCTCCTGCTGCTCGGCCACTCCCTGCTCCCAGTGCTCACTCTGTTTTCAGAGCAAAGATGAAGCCAAGCTTGGGTACTGTCACAACCTGGCTGGATGTGCATGCACTTGGGACAGTGCTGACACACCAGTCCCCTACCACTTCAGCCCCTTCTGGACTTTGGGAGCCCACTAGCATGGGAGGGAGGCCAAGGCAGGGCTGAGGGCAGCTCATCATGGACCTGCAGCCATCCCTCACCACGAATATCCTGGGCTTCGGGGATGGCAGGTTGATGTCCATGGGAGACAGAGAAGCTCCTGGGCAGAAAGGGGTGGATCCCAGTGAAGGCCCACCTTCAGACCAGGGATGGTCTTGAGCATGGGGTCTGGGCTGTCAACTCTGTGGACTGGAGTGAGAACTTATAGTGCTTTTTCTGGACCTGTTCATAACTGCCCATGGACCAATCAGCACACACTTCCTACCCTCTGAAGCCCATAAAAACCCTGGATTCAGCCAGATGCAGGCAGATATCAGGAGGACCTGTCTGCAGAGAGGAGCTACCCACTATGGGTCTCCTCTCAGCTCAGAGCTGGGCAGACGTTGCGATGACATGCCTGCGGATAGGAACTACCTGCTCTGGATCTCCTCTCTGCTCAGGCCTGCATTTGTTGGGATGACCTCTCTATGGAAAGGATCTACCTACTTTGAGTCTCCTGAGAGCTGTACTATCACTCAGTAAAGCACCTCTTTACCTTACTCACCATTCAGTTGTCCATATATCTCATTGTTCCTGGTTATGGGACAAGAACTCTGGACCCACTGAATAGTGGGACTGAAAGAATTGTAACACAAACAGTGATGAAACATGCCCGTCATTCACCATATTGTGGGTGACAAGAAGGAGAAAAGAGAGGAGGAGAGAAAAGCTGTGGGACTTCAGGGACCCCAGATAGGAGCTCCCCGAACCAGGGTGGTGATACCAGCCTTGGGGCTCTGTGGTTCCTGGTATCTCCAAGCTTCTGGACACTACTGTGTTTCTTGGTGCCTGAAGTGGAAGCTGCCTGGTCCGGCCACAGCCTTGCAGGGAGCCAGCACCCATGCTGGTGCCTGGAGCTGCCTGCCCCGCCACAGCTGTTGTGCCTGGCTGTGCGCAGTGGCAGGACTCTGTGCATGCTCGCTCACTCACCCCTCTCCACTCTGTGCCTGGCTCGCCCTTGGCAGTTGTGGGATCTGGGCTGGTAGCATGAGCCAAGTGCAGCTTGCCAGGCCAAGTGGGTGGAATAAGCCCAATAGGCCCAAGCAAAACTCAGGCAAAGGCACCACCAGCCACACAGGCTTCTGGCTGGTGAAGAGACACCCCAAGGAACCTGTGACAGTATGCTTTTACCTAATCTATATTCACCTTCTAATAACAGTATTCCATTCTAGGTACCTTATATAACATAATTCCAGTTTATTTTGCGTATTACTTATGACATTGCTGTCACTCATATTACATGTTTAAATGCAACAATCACTCAATGGAGTGTTATTGTTACAACATTAATATCTCCTTAGAGAGGCCTTATCTTACAGTTCCTTCCACTGTAATCCACTGTTATATTAGAGTCCTGTTGTAATGTAAAGTTATAGGGGAAAAATGGCTTTATATTTTTATTGTTAAACCTCGTTCTTTTGGCATGTTTCTCTGGGCTGTGAACTTTTCAAATGTTTATCAGCTATTTTTTTCCCTGTAAGTTAGACATGAAGGCTAGAGTACACTGTATTAGGAAAAACACTTTTTGTTTTTGTTTTTCATGCTTGAATAAGACTCTGTCAAAGTCTTTTCCACTGGAATATAAAGCTTTGTTATGAAGAAAGTTCTAGGTGTATTTAATAATGATCCGGCTTTCTCCCCTGATTCTGCTAAAGTGAGCTCTGAGGAACATTTCACTGTGAGAATATAATGGAGTTCTTCTTGATAAATCCGACAAAATTGTGTGGCTTCCTCGCAAAACTGCAGGGCCAGGGAATTTCTTATTCTCATCCTAGTTCAAACTCTACCTGCAGAAGTTAATCAAATTTTGCATTTTAGGTTTCTGTTCAATCCACAGCTTCTTCTCCAGGTAAACAGATCTCAGTTGTGACTCTCTTTGATCCTCCTGTTTCTCCAGTTTTAGGGGTGATGGTTTATTGGGCATTCTGAGTTCTCTAATGGGCTCAAAAATAACCTGTTTGTTTTTCTGTTTTTCTTAGGTTTTTCTTGCTGAAAGAATGTGAGTGATGACTTCAAAAATTTTTACACACGGACCTGAAACTGCAAGTCTCATATTATCTATTTTATGGCTTGAGAATATTTCATAGTATCCCATTTCATTCCTGATATTGTTGATTTAAATATTTGTTTTAATCTTTATTTAACTTGCTGGAAGTTTATCAACTTCACTGATATTATTGAAGAACAACCTTTTTGTCATTGATTTCTCTATTGCTTTCCTGATTCCAACACCATTGATTTCTGTTCTTTATTATTTTCTATGTTTGACTTGATTTGTGTTTATTTTGCTCTTCTTTTTCTAGTTTCTTGAAGTAGAAACTTAGATGATTGATTTTATAACTTTCTATTTAACCATTAATTGCTACAAATTTTCTTCAACTTTGCTTTTTGCATCCCACAATCTTTGTTGTGTTTTTATTTTTGCTGTTCTGAGTATTTTTTCATGTTCCTTAAAATTTCCTCATTGATTCTTGCATTATTTAAAAGTATGTTGTTGAATTTCCAAGTGTTTAGAGCTTTTCCTGTTGTCTCTCTGTTATTGATTTCTAATTAGATTCAATTGTCAGAGATTTAAATGAAAATACATTATATAATTTTAATTATCTAAAACTGATCAGATTTTTTATATGACTCAGTATGAGATCTATCTTGGTCAATTATTTATTCCACAGGCACTTGAATGTGTGTTCAGTTATTGTTGGGTACAGTGTTCTGTAAATGTTAATGTAATTATGTTAATTGATGATACTGTTCATTTCAACCATGTCTTTACTGAATGACTATCAGTATTTCTATCCTTTGTTGAAATTCCCAACTATAATTGTGGCTTTGTCTATTTTTCCTTTCACCTTTATTATTATTTTTCCTAATTTGTTTTGAAATTCTGTTTTTAGTGTATATATGCTTAGAATTGCTACCTCTTTTTGGTGGATTATTTTATAAATGTTTAATATTCCTCTTTTTTCCTGGTAATTTTCTTTTTAAATCTAATATTTTATATTTATATTTAGTCATATTTTATCTAATATTAATTTGCATAATATAGCTATTTTCCATTATTTTACTTTCAAATCACATATGTCATTATGTTTAACATGAGCTTCTTGTAAGTAGCAGAGATTTCATTCATCTTTAAAAATCTGCTCTACCAACTTGTATTTTAATGGATGTACTTATTTACATTTAAATCTATTATTTTTAATCTAGGTCTTTAGTCTACCATTTTATAACTTTTTTCTGCTTCTTTCATCTATTGTCCATTACTCTTTTTCATTATTCTCACATTTCTTTGAAATACTTAAACACATTTTAGTTTCATTTTAATTAATTTATTTATTTTTATTGTATCACTTGATGTATTTGGCTTAGTGGTTGCTCTCTATATAGTCATATACAGGTTTAACTTATTACAGACTATTGATGTTAATGTTTTACTTATTCAAGTGAAGTGTTGAAATCTTTTCATTTTTGTTCATTTCTCTTTCCCATTTAAAAAACAATTGGCAAGTCTTTCCGCAACATATATTGAGTACACATCAGTTAGCATCATAGCTTTTCCTTCAACTCTAACATATGATTTAAAAATCTCAGGAGGAGAATAGTCTGTTATGTTTACAGACTCGTTACCTATTTTATTGTTCTTTCATTTCTGAAGTTTACAGCCTTATTCTATTTTCGTTTTATTTCTGTTTCTTGAGCTTCCTATTGCCATTTTAAGGATAGTTTTGCTAGCAACAAATTCTTTTTTTTCCTGCTGTCTGATAATGTCTTTATTTATTTACTTTTTCATTGCTAAAGGATAGTTTCACTGGATATAGGATTTTGAGTTGACAGTTCTTTTATTGCAGCACCAAAAGACATCATGTCAATTCCTTCTGAACTCCTTTGTTTCAGATGAGAAATCGGCTGTAGTTCAATTTGGTATTCCTTTTTAAGCAATGACTTATTTCTTATTCTCTTTATAAAAAATAATTTTTGTCTTTGCAGATATTTCCTTATTATGTGATTTATTCTGCTTTTCTTTGGGCTTATTCTTGATGGAAACGTAATCTGTTATGAAATTTACTCAGCTTCCTGTATTTACAAATTTATGTTTCCCCAAATTTAGGAAGTTTTCAGCCATTATTTCATTAAATACCTTTTGAACTTTGTGCTTTTTCTCTTTCCTTCTAAGAATATTGATGGTAAGAATGTTAGATTTTTTTTTTATTTTCCTGTAGATCCCTGAGATCAGCTCATGAGTTGTCTGAAAATTTATTGTCTATATTTTTTCAGACAGAGTGAATTATATTAATTTGTTATCAACCATAGTAATTCTACCTTTTTTATTTCCATTCAATCATTCAACTGTCGAGGCTACACGCAAGATTTTTTTTTACTGATTTTTGTTAATTTAAGTTTCATATTTTCATGTAGTGCTTTAATTTAAAATCAAACTGTTTATTCTGAGATAATTACAGATTCACATGCATTTGTCAGAAATAGTACAAAGACATTTTATATACTCTTTTCCCAGGATTCTACAATATTTGTACCTTGCAAAACTGGTACACTATCACAACAAGAATGTTGACATTGGACAAAGTACAAACATTTCAATTACCAAACCGATTTTTAGATTGCCCTTTTATGTGTCCAATTCCTTCACACTCCCACTCCCTCTTCAAACCTCTTCAAGCATTCATTTTTATAATTTCGTGATTTCCATTTGTGATTTTGTCATTGAGTGTTTGACCTTTTAAAACTGGTGATTATACTCAGCATAATTCACTAGAAATTTGTTTTTTTTTCTTTGCTAATTCTAGGTTGTTGCATAGATTAGTCCTTGTTTCCTTTTTATTGATGAGAAATGTTCCATGTTTTTTATGTACCAGAGTTAAACAATTCATTCACTGAAAGACCTCTGAGTTGTTTACAGTTTTTGGCTTTTGTTAATAAAGCTAGTATAGACATTTGTTTATGGGATATTTGTAAACATAAATTTTTCATTTTGCTAGGATAAATGCCCAGAAAAGTATTTACTGTGATGTATGGTAAAGTCATACTTAACTTTTTAAGAAGCTGCCAAAATGTCTTGTAGATTATCAGTATAATTTTATATTCCTATTAGCAATGTATGAGAGATCTTACTAATCTTCACCAGCATTTGATGTCATCACTTTTTAAAGCTATTCTGCCAAGCATGTACTGATATCTTGTTGTAATTTTATTTCCATGGCCTTAAGTGCTACTGAGATTGAACATATTTTCATGTGTTTATTTACCATGTGTGTACATATGTATATTTTCCCTTCTTTGCTGTGATGTCTTTTTTTTTGCCTTTTTTGTTTGTATTGTTTCCTTTTTTCCCTTAGCTACTCTGTTTTGAGTATTCTTTTTATGTTCTAACCTCTATTCCATTGGATATGTGGTTTGCAAATATTTTCTTTCCAAATGCAAAGTTTGTCTTTTTATATTCTCAGTACACTCTTTTGCAGAGCAAAAATAATTAATTTCAATGGAGTACACCGTTTTTCAATTTTATGGATTATTATTTTGGGCACCAAGTCTAAGAACTCTTAGCCAGCACAAGATTCTAAAAATTTCCTATATTTTTCTTTTAAAGTGCTATGTTTTACATTTAGTATATGTAATTTTTGACCTTATTCTTGTATAATAAGTTAGGCTTAAATAATAAGTTATTCTTGTATAATGAGTTTGCCTATGGATGTTGAATTGCTATAGCACTGTTTGAGGAAAGTTGTATTTAAAAGTACATAATTATTATTTTTATAAATGACAGTTAATATTTTATGGTTTTATTATGTACAATGTGATATTTTGAAGTACATATTGTGGAAAGGTTAAATTTAGCCAACTAACAAATGCATTGACTCACATATTTATTATTTTTGTGGTAAGAGCATGTAACATCCACTCTCTTTACATTTTTCATAAATACAATGTTTTCATTAAGTATAGTCACTTCGCTGTACAATAGATTTCTTGAAAAGCATCCCTCCCCTCTAACTGTAAGTATGTGTCCTTTAACTAAAATCTTCCAATTTCCCTCTCACTTTTAACCACCTCAACTTCTGGTAACCACCATTCTACACTCTACTTCTACATGACCAATTTTTGTGATTTTTACATATGAATGAGATTACATGTAATTTGTCTTATGTGACTGGTCCACTTTACGTAACATGATGACCTCCAGGTTCATCCATGTTGGGGCAACTGGCAGGATTTCATTCTATTTGTGGCTGAATAGTATTCCATTGTGCATGTATACCACATTCTATTTATCCATCTCTTGAGGAACACTTAGGTTGATTCCATGTCTTTGCTATTGTTAATAATGCTGCAATAAACATGGTAGCGCAAATATATCTTCAACATACTAATTTCAATTCTTTCATATATATACTTTGTAGTGGAATTTCTGGGTCATATGGTAGTTCTATTTTTTATTTTTTGAGACAACTCCATACTGCTTTCTGTAATGTCTGCACTAATTTACATTCCCACCGACAATGTATAAGGATTCTCTTTTCTCCACATCCTCACTTCAGCTTGTTATCTTTTGCATGTTTGATAATGATCATTTTAATTGGGGTGAGAAAATATCTTACTGTGATTTTAATTTGCATCTCTCTGATGACTAGTGATGTTGAACATTTTTCATATACCTTTGGCCAATTGTATGTCTTCTTTTACATAAGGTCTTTTAGGTCTTTTTCCTGTTTTTTAGTGGGATTTTTTGCTATTGAGTTGTTTGAGTTTTTTATATATTTTGGACATTAGTCCCTGGTCAGATGTAGAGTTTGTAAATATTTTCTCCCATTTGGTAGGTTGTTTTTTAGCTCTGTTGATTGTATCTTATGCTGTGCAGAAGGTTGTTAGTTTGATGTAATGTCATGTCTATTTTTGCTTTTGTTGCCAATGTTATTGAGGTGTTATCTAAAAAATTCTTACCCAGACCCATGTTATGAAGTATTTTCACTATGTTTTCTTTGAGTAATTGCATAGTTCCAGGTCTTACACTTAAGTCTTTAATCCACTTAGAGTGGATTTTTGTATATGGTGAGAGATAGGGGTTTATTTCATTCTTCTGCATGTGGATACCCATAGCTTTATCAACACTGATTATTGAAGAGACTGTCCTTTCTCCAAGCTGTGCTCTTGGCACATTTGTTGAGTATAAGTTGGCTGTAAATTGGGGATTAATTTCTGGGCTCTCTTGTATTCCATTGGTCTGTGTCTATTTATATGCCACGACCATTCTGTTTTGGTTATTATAGTTTTTAGAACACTTTGAGTTCAGGTAGTGTGATGCTTCCAGCTTTGCTCTTTGCTAAAGATTGATTTAGCTGCTCAGATGTTCTGTGGTTCCACAAAAATTTTAAGACTGTTTTTTCTATTTCTGTGAAAAATGCCATTGGTATTTAGATAGGGATTTCATTGAATCTGTAGACTGCTTTGAGTTGCATGGGCTTTTTAACAATATTAATTCTTCCAATCCATGAATGTGGCATGTCATTCAATTTACTTGTGCCATCTTCAATTTCTTTCACAAATGTTTTATATTGCATAGTTTTTGTTATAGAGATATTTTACCTCATTGGTTAAATGTATTCTTATGGATTTCTTTTGGAGCTAGTACAAATGAGATTATTATTTTTTTTTTGTTCAGATAGATCTCCATTAATCTGTAGAAATTCTATTGATTTCTGCATTTTAAATTCATAACTCACAACTTTATTGAACTTGTTTATTAGTTCTAACAGCTTTTCAGTGCCATGTTTAGGGTTGTCTATATATAAGATCATATTGTTAGCAAACAAACAATTTAACCTTCTACTTTCCAATTTGGATGCTTTTTATTTCCTTTTCTTGTCTAATTGCTCTGGCTAAGACCTCCAGTACTACGCTAAATTGGAATGGTAAAAGTGAGTATTCTTATCTTTTTCTAGATCTTAGAGGAAAAGCTTTAACTTTCCTCATTCAGTATTATATTAGCTGTGGGTTTGTATATGTGGCCTTAATTATGTTTAGGTACAGTCCTTCTATAACTAATTTGTTGAGAGTTTCCATTGTGAAGGAATGTTGAATTTTGTTAAATTTTTTTGTGTCTATTGGAATAATCATATAGATTTTGTCCTTCACTCTGTTAATATGGTTTATCACATTTATTACTTTGTGTATATTGAATAATTCTTGCATTTTTGTGATAAATCTTCATCATTTCCAATAACCATTTTAATGTGCTGTTGAATTTGATTTACTAGTTTATTGTTGTTGTTCTTGTTGTTATGTTCACCAGGGATATTAGCCTGTAGTTTTGTTTTGCTTGTGTCCTTGTCTTTCTTGTGTTTTGGAATCAGAGTAACATTGTTCTCGTAGGATGGGTTAGAAAGAAATCTCTCTTTTTCTATTTTTTAATATAGTTTGAAAAGAAGTGATATTAGCTCTTCTGTAAATGTTTGATGGAATTCAGCCATGAAGCCATCAGGTCCTGGGCTTTTCTTTAATAGTTGAATTGTTGTTACTGATTCAATCTCCATACTCATTGGTCTTACTGATTCAATCTCCATACTCATTGGTCTAATCAGATTTTTTTTCTTCATAGTTCAATCTTGGTGGCTTATATGTGTCCAGGAATTTACCTAGTTTTTTGAAGTTTTCCAATTTGTTGGTGTATAATAGGTCATAATAGTTTCTTACAATCCTTCGTATTCCTGTGGTATTAGTTGTAATATCTCCCTTTTTATCTCAGATTTTATTCATTCGAGATCTCTCTTTTGCTTGTTTCTTAGTTTAGCAATAGGTTTTTCAGTTTTGGTTATCTTTTCAAAAAAATCACTCAGCCTTAGCTGACATAGATAGAGGTAGAGCTACATTTTTATTATAGGGTGTTTGGTTGTTTTTTTCTAAATACTTTCTGTCATTCTAAGCTGGCTTTTTCCTGATTTGTTTGTTTGTTGTTTGTTTGTTGTTTGTTGTTGTTGTTATTGTTTTTCACTACAGAGGGCTAGCTTCTGTTAGGGCATTTGCTATTTACATATATGGGCATTTCAAGTTGCTGGATACTTCAGGACCTATTTTGGGAAACGTGAAACAATAAGAAAACTCTGAAACTCACCACCATGTTGTTTTCAGGTCACGCAGGCCTTACCCAGTCTGACCATTCTCTCCAATGTTCAGTTTTCATATGTCAGTTTTATATATAATGTCCAAGTTCATTGTACTTAGGGGAGAAATAAAAATAGTACTAATATTTCATTTTCTTGGAAGTGGAAGTCCCCTGTTTGTTTCTGTCTTATAATATGTTTTTCTTTTTCTTTGATGCAAGTTTTTACTTTTTGTTCGGTTTAAGGAAATGTGGAATTAATTGCTGAAGCATTTTTTGGATGTCTGATGTAAAATCCTTATCAGATAATATCTACATCATGTTCTTATATTGGTGTTAGTTTACTGTCTTTCTCATTCAAATTGAGGTTTTTCTGATTTTTCACATAACAAGTGACTGATTTTCACCTGTGCTTTGAACGTTTTGGTGATTATGTTAGGAGACTCTTGATCTTATTTCAATTATTTATTTTAGTAGGCAGTCCTCAGTTTTGTAGCCAGTTTTGTTGCTGTTTCACTGATTGTTTCATTTTCTTCCCCTAAGCAAAGCTATTCTACTCTGCTTCATTTGTTTGGTGCTCCAGGGGGTCCTGTCCAATCCCCGTTGGTGCCACCTCCAGAGACAGAAAGAACTTAAATGAGCTTCCTGTCAACAGTGGGAAATCTTTGGAGGGAAGTGGTCATAAGCCACTGGGCCTGGGTCTCTTCATAGAAAGCAGGGAGATGCAGGGCTTTGCAGCTGCTGCAGCTGTTGAAGGACCGGTCTGGTTACTGGTAACCTAGTTGTAGCACAGGGTCCAGAACAAACCATGAACCCTTGGCCACTACAGCTGCTTATCCATTCATCCACTCACCAGGTCTGGGTTATGAAGCTTGGCCTGGGATGGTCAGGGCATCACTGTGATTTTTGTCAGATTCATCAGTTGTTTCCTGGATGTTGCGCAGAGACAAGGATGCCTTCAGCATTTATTGTTACTTCTTATACTAATGAATAAGATCATCAACATTGACCAAATTTTTACCTGACACTGCTTCAGGTTTCCAGTTGAGTCAGAACTGGGATTCTCTGCTGGGTCTCTGTTGGGCTTCCGCTTTCTAGATCCTTTATAAAGCCAGAAAGAATAGACTATTCTTATTTGAGTTTTTTGTTGTTATTTCATTGTTGTTGTTCTTTTGCTTAGGACTATCAGTGATTTGGTGTTGCACTTTCCAGTCCTGGGATATTCAAAAAGAAAAACAAAACCCAGAAAATTCACCACATTGTACTTCTTCAATTCCTGAGGTCCAAGACAATCTGCTGGCTTTCAGAGTTTTAAAAAAAATCCATTTAATAATTTCCTCGGTATTCAGTTGTGTTTAGAAGACATGAGTAGAAAAATAATAAGTCTATACACTCTTGAGTAACAGAAGTGACCACAAAGATACATCAAAATATGTTTTGGTCACTTCTGTTACTCAAGAGCGTATTCCAAGATAAATAAATCTGCTGTATCTTGGCAGTACAAGCCCTTTATCATTTATTTTTCTTCAAACTAGACAATGTGAGACCCTTTGAGATTTTCTCCAATTAGCCCTATTAGTACTGCAGTGTTATCACAAACTAGAAAATATTTTTAAACTCTTGGTGTTGTTTTTGTGTGTTGGCTTTATGGCAGTATAAATTATCTCCTGTAATTTTGTGTGTTTAGACTATTTATTTATTTAAACCTTTTCCCTTTCCTGTAGACATAGATTTTCAATTTTACATGGTTTTCTGTTTCTTTTATTAGGTATCAGGAAAATGCTCATTTCGTGAACATGTGTAAATAATGCAATATTGCATTATACACTCACTTTACAGTGATTTATTGAGCACTTTTAGTCTCATCATTAATCTATTGTATTAGGGTGATAAAAATAAAATAATTCTTTAAGAAAGGCACACAATTACTAAGCAATTAAAATGCATGTTATAATTCCAGGTACTTCTAAAGAATATTTAGGATAGGATAATAAATTATAATAGGGGAAGATGCCTGCTTTAACAAGAATTAACTGGAAATACCTCTCTGGAGAAGGGATGACTGAATAGAAAGTATGTAATGATTTCATGAAGACTTGGAGAGAAGGATTCCAGTTAGTTGTTACAGTATATGCAAAGTCTCTGTGTTAGGAAAGAACATGGCCAGTGCCAGGGTCAGCCTGAGTTTCAGTAGGGAGTAAGCCAGTGGAGTCGTCAAGGGGAATACAATTTTAAAAGTAGCCAGGAACAGAGCACATAGGGCCACAGAGATTTATTTTACCTGAAATCCTAATATGCTTATTTTTGTGTATTTTTATTTTGTACCTTATTATACAGGTTGCATTAAAATATATCCTGAAAAAAGGCAGAACTTTAAAAATAGCTAAAGCACTAGTTAAGTCACTATCTAAAACATATAATGAGTCAATATTCCCTTTATTATATTTACATTCACATAGGTAAGTCTTTCTCACCAGACTGACGTATCCATAAAGACAGTTACGTTGTATCGCAGAGAAGCATGCTAGCTATGTACATGGTCGTTTCAGTTAAACTAAGGTGATTTGAATATCAATAAAATAATAATCAAAAATTAATTACATATTTATTATTAGTTAGATGTTGTGATAGATGAAATAAGAGAAACATGTTTTAATCTGTACAAAGATCGGCACGATATATTAGACATAGTATTCTTATATCTCGCAATATGGTTCAAATAGCTGTTGAAAACAAAAAAAAATGCAAATGATATATAAATAAATAAATTTTTAAATGCATCTATGAACTAGCAAAATAAAGTAAGGAGTATCAAGGCCAAAATCTAAAAGAAAGCTATAACTCAGAGATATAAAACAAGCCATGTAGTTGACATTCACCTTGAAGGTATTTGTCAAATTTAGTGAAATCATGAGTAGTTTTTCATAATGTCTCAAGTCTTGGAGGTTGGCAGACAAAGCCTAGGTCCCATACATAGTGGGAAAACTAATAAAAAACGTTGACAGTCTGGTGCCCAAAGACTACTTTCTTATAAATTTGAATTAACTCTGTCTATAAGCTCTTTGTCTCCACTTCCCTAACCATCACTGGATTACTAGAATTTTATCTTTGGAACTGACCATAAAATGCAAAAATAAATGGAAAAACATCTCACATAAGAAATCTTCAACATAAACCAGAGATAAAAAGTGTTGTTACACTAAATTCATGTAATATACGTTTTCCAGAAAAACAGCCTAAACATGTGGTTTATTATTCCCAGGTGGCTGACCTTAAATTTCTGACAGAAACAAATATAAATAATTTCTGGAGGAAATTATTCTTAAACCAGCCTTTTTTAAAAAAAGAGATTGAATACGTACCTAAATACACAAACCTAAAGAATTCCTATATGAATAGTAATTTACACAAGAAAAATAATTATAGCTAAAAGCCTAGTCTTATTTTATACATAAAATCATAGACCAATTGATCATCAAAATGAAACATCTGATATGTCTTAGTAGTCAGTTCAACCTAATTTAAACAACAGCAACAACAAAAAGCTACAGACATATAGCAAATTTGCTAAACGGAATTAAAGTTTTTAAATTTTTAATCTCTTAGCTATGTACAAGTCTGAAAGCAACAGTTACAGAAAAACATATGACATGCTTGTGAAAATTACTTGTGCAATATTTAGAGTTTATGTGATAGAACACACTTATTTCTTACAATATAAATAAGTTATGTGTCAAAATATGATTAAAATAGTGTACACAGTATGGATGATCCTTTTCTTCAACCATAAATCAAATAGAAAATAGAAAATTAAATAGAAATCATGATCAAATAGAATGGAAATTAGAAAAAATTACAACTAACTCACAATCATGAATATATTACATATTGCAACTTTAGAGAAATACCAAAATAATCTAATATATGTAGTCTTCAATGCTTGTATTTAAAAAAGAAAGGTCAAAAAATAGCAAAATATTAATCTCAAGAAGACAGTAGAAGAATCAGTGAAATAATTGTCTTAGGTTAAAAAAAAAATCAGTTTTGTGGCATCTGATTCTGGGTAGATATTCCTGGTTGCAAGGAGGCACCCTGCCAGATAGTGGCTCCAGAATTCCTTAAATCCAGTTACCTGAGTCCAGCCAGTGGAAGGGAAAAGAAAGCACAGAGAAAGCAGGCCCCTTTTTGAAATCACTTTGGCCTTAAACAGGGGCAGAAACGCTTGCTCACATGTTTCTGGCAAGAACTAATCACATGGTGTTCCTGCCTGGGCAGCTGCTTACAAGTGCTGTCTGTATTTGGGTGATTTTTTGTCAGCTCTGCCAAATTCTATGAATGCAAGGTTTGTTTCTCATTACAAAATAAATTAAGAGAAAGCAAATACATACAGATTACAGATGTTTTTATTATAAACTTTGGGTTACTATGGCAATAATTTGAACATTTACAGAGAAGAGTGTTTGCCGTAGACCCATGTTATGTGGCAGGTGCTTGTCCAGACAGGCCACTGTGCTGAGTTTGAACAGTCATATCTGCTTTACCCAGACACCAAATTACAGAAGATTGTGGCAGTTGATTAACTAAGTACTGAAATGGGAAAATAATGTAGCAATAATTTGTTAAAATTTACAAGTTTATTAATATTTAAGGTACTCCTGAAAAAGAAAATCAACTTACCAAGTTTACACTCCTGGATACTGGGACTTGTTACAAAGCTAATGTTAGTGTAATATTGGCTTCAAAAGGGACAAGGAGGAAAAATGGAATACAATAGAGTTCAACCAGACTCATGCATTTGAAGACATTGAGTTTTTAACAAAGATGGACTACAAAGCAAAAAGAAAAAATAAAATTTTCAGTGAATGGTGTTAAATCAGTTGAATATCCCAATGAGTGAAAACAAACAAACGTCAGCAACAACAAAAAATAACCTTGACTCTTATTTCACTCTATATGCAAATAATAAATTTTAGCAGGACTGAAAACAGAACAAGAAAAGTAAAACAATTAATCTTTTAGAAGATAATTTTGGATATTATTTTCATGACCTCAGAGTAAGCAAAGAGTACTTACAAGAGCCTAAAAAACTAATACTTAAATGATAAGTTAGATTTCTCTTAAAAATTATGAAAACTGTTGTTCTTGGAAAAACTTTAAAATAGTAAGAAATAGACATACAAAGCCATGTGGAGGTAATATATCTGCGATGTGTATAATAATATCCATTAACATGGCTGGGCGCTGTGGCTCACTCCTGTAATCCCAGCAATTTAGGAGGCCAAGGTGGGTGGATCACCTGAGGTCAGGAGTTTGAGAGCAGCCTGACCAACATGGTGAAACCCCATCTCTACTAAAAATGCAAAATTAGCCAGACCTAGTGGCACATGCCTGTAATCACAGCTACTTGGGAGGCTGAGGCAGGAGAACTGCTTGAACCTGGGAGGTGGAGGTTGCAATGAGCTGAGATTACACCATTGCACTCCAGCTTGAGGGACAGAGCGAGACTCCATCTCAAAAAAAGAAAAAAAAATCTACTACTGGATGGACAGTAGAATGGATAAATCAGTGTGTAACAAACAGAAAAGGAACACTCTATAGCAATGTACATGAATGAATTACTGCATCACGTAGAAACTCTCATGAACTGTCCGGGCGCGGTGGCTCATCCCTGTAATCCTAGCACTTTGGGAGGCCGAGGTGGGCGGATGACAAGGTCAGGAGATCGAGACCATCCTGGCTAACACAGTGAAACCTTGTCTCTACTAAAAATACAAAAATTAGCCGGGCTTGGTGGCGGGCGCCTGTAGTCCCAGCTACTCGGGAGGCTGAGGCAGGAGAATGGCGTGAACCCGAGACATGCAACTTGCAGTGAGCCGAGATTGCGCCACTGCACTCCATCCAGCCTGGGCGACAAAGCGAGACTCCGTCTCAAAAAAAAAACAAAACAAACAAACAAACAAAAAACAAAAAAGAAACTCTCGTAAACATAATTTTAAGGGAAAGAAGCTAGAAATTAAAGCAGACTATATATATATATGCGCATATATATATGCGCATATATATATATATATGCATATACACCTCAAATTCAGGAAAAAACAATTATGTGAAAATGTAGTACATTGGTTTTCTCTGTACTGGAAGTAAAAAATAGTGATTGACCAGGGGCATCAATGAGCTTCTTTGAGGGTGATGATAATATTGTGTTTCTTCACCTGAATAGTATTTTCATGGGTGATGATTTATTGTGCCATACATTTATGTTTTACACACTTTGGTTCATGTGTATCTTAATTAAATATGTGGTTGATTTGCTTTATGCAATTGAAGATTAGGTCAGATTTTGCTGTAAGCAATATTTGATTATTGAATCACCAGTGTTAAGAAGGAATATGTTTCTTTTCATTTCTAATCTCCATATATTGATTACTGCTTTATCCTAAGAAGCCATGGCTGCAATATTTCTTTTAGCATCTCACAGAAGTACATTTGTCATGCTTCTTGTTTGACAAAATGAGAGTAGCTTTCTCCTACCTTACACAAAATATATCCTGAGATTCAGAGTGATTGATTTGTGTCACATGCTCATCTCTGAACCAAATGGGGAGACAAAAGGAGAAAATAAAATGACTGGCGTCACGTAGCTCTAGGCCTGGCTGTGTAATCAGACTCAACGCCATCACTTGATGCCTTGATATGAATAGAGGGATGCTGGGAATGGATGATGGGAAGAAAAGTTGTTAGAATTCAACTAACAGGTGTCCCATTTAGAAATTATAGGTAAGAAAATAAATGGACTCTTGATATTTTAAGTTCCAAGTGGATTTGGCCACTATGTTCTCAAATTCAGAGTGGATCAAATAATGATATTTTGGTATATTTAACCTTATGATCTCACTCATTTAAAAAATGAGATTTTAAGAGTTTATATAATGTAAAATGAAGTAAATTGATATATGTTAGAAATCATTTCATTATACTCTTAAATGACTCTTAGAAAATACATTACAGTATTTATCCATGCTCAATTCCATTAAATGGGAAATATTGCTATAGAAGAATTAAATGTGAGGTTAACAAATTTAATTCACATAGGAAACATTTATATTCTACCAAATTAATGTAACATTCAACACTTGGTGTAAAGAGTGACCACATTAGTGGCATTAATGAACTGTGTGTAACTAAGATATCTTTTCACACTAGAAAGTGCTCCTAATTTATTGACATTTTCATGAATTAACCAGGAGTCACATTCTGAGTAAATTGGCCAGAAAAAAACTGGTCATACTATTAAGTTTCAGAATCCAGGTACTTCGAATCATTATTTGGTTTCTACCTTATGAAAAGAATAATCGCAAATAATAAGATGAAATAGGCTTTTAAGAAAGTGTGTGTAATACCTATTTAAATACATTTGTGATATTTAAATAAAATTAAATAAAATATTTAAATAAAAATTTTCAAAACAGCAAATGAGTACAGAATCAATGTACAATTTCTATGTAATTAAGGGGTCTATGTGCTTCATAGAACAATATTTTTCACCCCACTTTTATTGAGGTATAATTAAGGAAATCATGCACATATTTAACATGTACAACCTGATGACTGGATATACTGATATGTGTACACACTGTGAAATGATAACGACAGTCAAGTTAATTAACACATGTATCACCTTATACAGTAGCCTTATTTTTCCTTTTTCTTTTTTTTTTTTTTTTGGTGAGGTTCCTTAAAATCTACTTACTGTATTAGCAAATTTCAAGAACATAATACAGAATTATAAATTATAGCCACCATATTGTCCATTAGATACTCAGGACTTACTCATCTTAAAACTGAAAGTTCGAGCCCTTTAACAGCCCCCCATTTCCCCTGCCCCATTCCCTGGCAACCACCATTTTATTCTATATTATGATAAGTTTGATTTTTTTTCTTTGCAGATTCCATATAGAAGTAAAATCATACAATATTTGTCTTTTTGTGTCTGGCTTATTTCACTTACGATAATGGCCTCAACTTTCACCGACATTGTTTCAAATGGCAGAATTTCCTTCATTTTTAAGGTTGAATAATACTCTACTGAATACATGAATATATATATATATATATATATATATATATATATATATATATATATATAACAAATGCTTCATCCATTCATCTGTCAATGAACACATACATTGTTCCCAAACCTTGGCTTTTGTGAATAATGCCACAATAAATATGAGAGTGCAAATATCTCTTTGAGATATTTTATTTCCTTTGGAAGTATACCCAGAAGTGGGATTTATGGATTATGTGGTAGTTCTATTTTATTTTTTTTAGAAAACTCTCTAATTTTTTACACAATGACTGTGTCAGTCTATATTCTGCTTAAAGGTGTCCAAATGTGTTTTTTTCTTTACATACTCTCCAAAATTTGTTATCTCTTGCCTTTTTGATAATAGCAATCTTAATAGGTGTAAGGTGATATCTCGTTGTGGTTTTGATGTGCATTTATCTGCTTATTAGTGAGGCTAAACACATTTTCATATATCAGTTCTCCATTTTTATGTCTATTTTAATTATAAAATATGTCAATTTAATTACTTTATCCATTTAAAAATTTTTTTGTTTATTTGCTATTGAGTTGTGTGAGTTTCTTATGTATTTAGATATTAACACCTTATGAAATATATGGCTTTTAAATATTTTCCCACAATATCCTTTGCTGATTAAAAAAAACACTTTACAAATCTTTTATAGAATGAATGTACCTCAACATGAAAAGGCCACATATGACAAGCCTAGGGCTAACATTATACTTAACAGTAAAAAGCTGAAAGCTTTTCCTCTAAGATCAGAAACAAGATGACCACACCTACTCTTGCCACTTCTATTTATTATAGTACTGGAAGTTTTAGTGAGAACAATTAAACAAGGAAAACAAAGGCATGCAAAGTGAAAAAAGAAAGAAGTAAAATTGTCTCTGTTTGCAGATGACAAAATCCTACATACAGAAAACCCTAAAAACTCCATTGAAAAATTGTTAAAACTAACAATGAAGTTAGAGGATACAAAAGCAATACTAAAATGTTAGTCATTTCTCTACATTAACAATAATCTATCTGAAAGAGAACTTATGGAAGAATCTCATTTATAATATCATCAAAAATTTATATACTCAGAAAAAAGTTTAACAATGGAGATGAAGTATTTGTATACTGAAAACTATAAAAGATTTGTGAAAGGAATGGAAGAAGACACAAATTTATAAGAAGATATTTATTAGATTGGAAGAGTCAATATTGGTAAAATGTCCGTACTACACAAAGCAAACTACAGATCCAATGCAACCCCTATTAAAATTTCAAAGGCATTTTTCATTAGAAATTTTTTAAAACCATGAAATTTATATGGATCCACAAAATATCTCAAATACCTAAAGCCATCTGTTAAAAAATAACAAAGCTGGAGGAATTATACTTCTTGATTTCTAATTACATTACAAAGCTATAGTAACCAAAACAGTACAGTCTGGCATGAAAACAGACATATAGACCAATGAAACAGAATAAAAAGCCCAGAAATAAACTCATGTATATATGGTTAACTAATCTTTGACAAGGGCACTAATAACTTACAATGGAAATAGAATAGTCTCTTCAACAAATGATGTTGGTATAAGTAGGTATCTACCTGCAAAAAAGAAAAAAATAAAAAGAAGAAAACTGACCATACCTTTTACCAGTTATGAAAGTTCAGAATTAAAATGGATTAAAGACTCCATGTAAGACTTGAAACTCAAATGATTCTAGAAAAAATCACAGGGACAAATATCCTTGATGCTGGCTTTTGATATGACATCAAAAACACAGGCAACAAAAACAAAAATAAACAAATGAGACTACATAAGACTAAAAAGCTTCTGTGCAACAGAGAAAACAATCCACAAAATAAGAAGTAAAACTGTGGAATGCTTCTTGAGCCAGAAAGTGTTTTCTTCTTTCTTACCTTTTATCTTAAGAAAAATTAGCTTAACACATTTGTAGTTATTAATATCATTAATAATCAATTCTATCATTAACCAGCATATTGAGAATAAAAATTTTAAGCAAGGTAAAATTTTATGACTAATTTTCTAATAGCCTTTTGGGCTAAAGCTTTGGTTCTGAGAGAGATGAGGAAAACAAATATATCATAATTAAATCTGCAGCAAAACGTGATTAGAAGAACTAAAGTGTAAGCTTATTTTTTCAGAGAACTATGGAGATTTAATCCATTGTCTTATTATCTAACACTTTCACTTTATTTTGCTTTTCTTTATTTCAGATATTATTTGTTCCTGTGTTAAGGCACTGTATTACAAGACTACTTTCTTCTTAAATATCACTTGGAGGGTGGTATTTCTTATATTTAATTCTTTATATAGCTGTTCGAATATGGCTTTAATAAATATGATAAGGAAAATAGAGACTATTCTAATGAAAGTGAGCAAACTCATTTGGACTAATTCTCCAACTGAAAACAATTGAATATACTGGATTCAACAATTGAAGAATTTAAAGCATAATGAGAAATTATCAGGTTAGAATATTCTCATATTCTAAAATCCTAGATAAGAAAATTGAGTCCCACAACAAATATATACACACAATTTCATACACATATGTGCACACACATAAGACAGAAGGAGAAATACAGCAAATTTGGTTGAAAGTCAGAAAAAATATTCAGTCTTGTTTAGAAGTACGAGCTTCTCAAACTATTCTCAAAACTTTTATAAAACATATGTTTAAATAGTTATATTTTTAACCAAAGAAAAACAAAACACCCTACTTTTAACATATCTCTTTATTGAATGAAAATCTATTGACCTTAATATACTCCAAGAAAGATTATCTATTAGATATTATTTTACTCATTTGGATAGGTAAAAGCTACATAGTGAGTTTACAGACTGTTTAACAATGTTTATAAAGGTAGTGAAAATAGACACCGAGAACTACTAGACTAGAGGGAGGAGATCAAGAGAGGGTCAAAGGCTGAAAAATTAACTATTGGTTATTATACTCAGTATCTGGGTAACAGGATCAATCACACCCCAAACCTCAGTGTAATGCACTATACCCATGTAACACAGTTGCACGTATACCTCCAAATCTAAAATAAAAGCTGAAATTATTTAAAAACTATATTTAGATGTTTAAATGCAATAATAATAATGTCTTCAAAATGTAGAAAAAATACATATACATTATTTGTTCTTCATATCCACAGGTTCTGCATCCATGGATTCAACCAAGTGTGGTTTGTAATTATTCAAATAAAAAAAGTATGGTTACTTCTGTACTGAACGTTAACATATTTTTTTTCTTGTCACTATTTCCTAAATAATATAGTATAACAACTAAAGGCATATCTTGGAAATATTGCAATTTCTGTTCCATAGCACAATAAACTGAGTATTTCCATAAAGTGAGTCACAAAATTTTGGTTTACAAGTGCATATGTAAAGTTACGTTTACACTGTAATATAGAGTCTATTAAATGTGCAATAGCATTATGTCTAAAAATTGTAATGTTAAATATTTTATTGCTAAAAATTACTAATGATTATCTGAGCCTTCAGCAAGTGGTAATATTTTTGATGGCGGAGGGTCTTGCCTTTATGTTGATGGCTGCTGACTGATGAATATAGTGGTTGCTGAAGGTTGAGGTTGCTGTAAAAATTTCTTGAAATCAAGCAACAGTGAAGTTTGCCACGTTGATTGACTCTACTTTTCATTGAAGATTTCTCTGTAGCATGTGATCCTGTTTGATAAATATTGCCCACAAAACTATTTTTCAAAATTAGAGTCTATTTTCAAAAACTGCTGTGGCTTTATCAGCTTTGTTTGTATAATATTCTCAATCCTTTTTTTTTTGGTCATTTCTATAAGTAATAATCCTTTTTTGTCATTTCACAGTATCTTTGCTAAGAGTCGATTCCATCTTAAGAAAAACCTTTCTTTGCTTACCCAAAATGGGCAACCCTTCATCCATTCCAGTTTAATCAGGAAATTTCAGCAATTCAGTCACATCTTCAGTCTCCACTTTTAATCCTAGGAATTTTGCTAATTCCACTACGTTTGCAATTACTTCCTCCACTGAAGTCTTTGACTCCTCAAAGTTGTCCTTAACGTTGGGATCAACTTCTTCCAAACTCCTTTTAATGTTGATATTTTGGCCTTCTGCCATGATTAATGGATGTTCTTAATGTCATGTAGAATAATGAGTTCTTTTCAGAAGGTTTTCAAGTTACTGTGCCCAGATCCATCACTATCACTATGGCAGCTATAGCCTTACCGAATATATTTCTCAAATAATAAGACTTAATAGTCGAAATTGCTCCTCGATTCATGGGCTCCACGTTGTGTTATCAGGCATGAAAACAACATTAATATCCTTGTCATCTCTATCAGAGCTATAGGGCGACTAGGAGAATTGTCAATGAGCAGTAATGTTTTGAAATAAATATTTTACTCTTTTTTTCTGAGTAATAGGTCTCAACACAGGGTTTAAATATTCAGGAATCTGTACTGTAAATAGATATACTGTCATCAGTCTATTTTTACTCTGTTTATACAGCACAGGCAGAGTAGATTTAGCATAATTCTTAAGGGCCTTGTATTTTCAGCATGGTAAATAAGCATTGGCATCAATTTACTTTCACTGGTTTTATTAACCTCTAACAAGAATCAACTTGTCTTTTGAAGCTTCGAGGCCAGTCATTGACTTCTCCTCTATATCTATGATGCCCTAAATGACATCTTCTTCCAATAGAAGGCTGTTTCATCTACATCAAAAATATATTGTTTAGTGTAACCACTTTCATTAATTATCTTAGCTCAACCTTCTGGACTAATTGCTGCTACTATTACTAAAACTCCTGTTTCTTCATCTTGCACTAAGGCTTCTTTCCTTAGACCTCATGAACCAACCTCCACTATCTTCAAACTTTTCTTCTGCAGCTTTATCATCTCTCTTGGCTTTCATAGAGTTGAAGATACTTAGGCCTTGCTCTGGATTAGGTTTTGGCTTAAGAAAATGCTGTGATCGGTTTGATCTTCTAGCCAGGCCACAAAAACTTTCCCATATCATCAATAAGGCGATTTCACTTTCTTTCCATTCCTATGTTTACTGAAGTAGCACTTTAATTTCCTTTAAGAATCTTTTTTTTTTTTTTTTCATTCACAGCTTGGCCAACTGGCACAAGAGGCCTAGCTTTTAGTTTATCTCAGCTTTTGACATGACTTCCTAAGTTAAATCATTTCTAGCTTTTTATTTAAAGTAAGAAACAGTCAACTTTTTCTTTCACTTAAACACTTAGAGGCCATATCAAGGTAAAACCACTAGCCTAATTTTAATAATTTTGTGTTTCATGGAATAGGGAATCCAAGGAGAGAGGGAGAAATGTGAAAATGGGTCGTCAGTGGAGCACTCAGAAGACATGCAATTATCATCTAATATTCGTGTAGTCAGTGGTACCCCAAAACAATCACAATAGTAATATCAAAGATAATTGACCACAGATTACCATAAAATATATAATAATAATGAAAATAATATTTCAAATATTATTAAAATTAATCAAGTGTGACACAGAGACATGAAGTGAGCATATGCTTTTGGATAAAAGGAGTTGATAGACTTCCTTGATGCAGGATTGGCACAAACCTTCAATTTGTGAAAAGTGCAATATCTGAGAAGTGCCATAAAGTGAAACAGAATAAAATGAAAGAAGTGTGTATTTAAATTTATTTGTAAACTTACCTTATTATAAGAAATCTAGAGATCATTTGAATGAAAGAATGTGCATAGGTTATATGTAAGTGCTAAGCCATTTTATATTAAGTACTTGAGCATCCATGGATTTTGGTATTCCTAGGGAGTCTTGGAACCAATCTTTCATGGATACTAAGGGATGATTTTATGTGTGTGTGTGTGTGTGTGTGTGTGTGTAATTGTGTAATTTTTAAATGATACAATAATGTAAATATCTGGAGGGAGAGATTATATAGAGTTCAAATATTCTAAAAGTCTTTATTATATGGGAATAGGACCAAGATCCACCTTAAGTCAGCATTGAAACTCTTCCTCTCCCAATATCTTCTATTAGATTAAGCCTTCAAAACCTATTGATATGGTTAAGCTTTGTGGCCCCACCCAAATCTCATCTTGAATTGTAATCCCCATAATCCTTCTAATCCCCACATGTTAAGGGAGATACAAGGTGGACGTAATTGAATCATTAGGGTGGTTTCCCCAATGCTGTTCTCCTGATAGTGAGTGAGTTCTCATGATATCTAATGGTTTTATAAGAAACTGTTCCCATTTTACTCGGACTTCTCCTTCCTGTTGCCTTGTGAAGAAGGTGCCTTGCTTCTCCTTCCGCCATGATTCTAAGTTTCCTGAGGCCTGCCCAGCCATGCTGAACTGTGAGTCAATTAAACCTCTTTCTTTTGTAAATTACCCAGTCTCAGGTATGTCTTTATAGCAGTGTGAAAATGGACGAATACACCTATCTTCCTAGTTACTATCCTTGATATTTTTCACTTTCTCATGCAGTGCAATTTCACTCTGCCCAGGTTTTTTCATGGTCTCACCCTATCACTTATATTAAATAAATAGGCTTATTGTGTTTCCTACAATACTATCTAGAATATGAGGCTAAGCCTCCTGTGGTATCACATTTAACTGTAAATATTGGGAGGATTCTGGTGTGCAGAAGAGCATGAGCCTCCTGTTATTTCAAATGGGATTTGTATCTCCCTTACAAGAATTTTCCCTTTTTAGTATCCAGGCCTCTCCCACCTCAACCAATGTGTCTTCTTTTTGATGTTCTACTCTAGGACTTGATGTGAAAATCCTGCCTGGCTGGACCTTTCTGAGATAGGCATTCCTAGAGCTTCAAGTGAAATCAGAAAATCAGCCACCCTAGCAGTAACAAGTAACCCCATTTCATGAGAAAAGAATTACAAGGATATACTGGAGTTCCACTGTAGAAGTAAAGAAGAAAAGTGGTCCATCCACCCAATCTGGCTGTGTGTTCTCCTAAGAAATGCTTGATCAGTAGTTATTTTCTTCTTCTATTATGGAAACAGTCTGGATGTGGCTGTTCTGAAAATGTTTGACGAAAAATCAAGGAAGTTACATATGCTAAATAGATATGATAAAATTAGACTTACCACATCCAGCAGCTGCATGGTGCAGTAACTGCCTCTATTTCCTGTGTGTGGGTGTGGTGGGGGTGAAGGGTTAAAATGAGGGTGTTTGGCAGACAGGATAGAAAGTTGAAATAAGTAACGGAATGAGTAATTTATGTTCTCGCCTGAGACAGGCTGCTGGATAGCAGCAGTTCATGGCAAACTCATTGTCTTAGTCTGTTCAGGCTGCTACAACTAAATATCTTAGTCTGGGTAATATATAAACAATAGAAATTTATTGCTCCCAGTTCTGGAGGCTGAGAAGTCCAAGATCAAGGCATAAGCATATGCAGTGTCTGGTGAAAGCTTGATCTCTTCTTCAAAACAGCATCCTCATGTTGAGTTCTCACATGGTGGAAGGGGTAAACCAGCTCCCTTCCTATTTTATAAGGGCACTAATACCATTATGAGAGTTGAGCCTTCATAACCTAATCATACCCAAGTCTCCTTCTCTTAATAGTATTGGATTGGGGATTAGCTTTCAACAGAGGAATTTGGGAGGGGAGACACAAACTTTTAGGCCACAGCATTAGTCTTTATTCCCTTTCTAATAACTATGTGTGTGTGTGTTGTATTAACTTTAGGTTCAAAACCTGTGCTAAACATGACACACAACACTGTCACCATCTATCTTTATAAGGTTCCATTCTTACTTGTTTCTTTCTCTTCTTCAGCCCTAATATTAGCTTGGACTCCTCAGCACTGTAGGAACTCATGAAATATATTTGATATATAGAGTTAAAATGCACATATCCTTGTAAATTATGAAGTCCTGTTTTCTGAGTCAAGGTGTCATTAGTTTACATGCATGGAATACGCTATTACTTATTTAAAATAATCCCACCTTTTAAATCTATTCACATATTCTTATATATTCACAAATTCATTCAAAATTACTTTCGCAAAGCAAGAATCTGACATTGTAAGTTGTTGTTAGAATCTCAATAATTGAAATCTGCAAGTCCTAGTCTTTTAAATAATGAAATGTTTAAAAAGTTAATAAAGTTTTATATATAAATAAATATATATATAATATTAACTGAAGAGAATGATAAAATTGCAATTCTGTTTAATAACCTAAGATGATTTCATACAAATCCATGTGGACAGAGAGAAATCCAGATGTTCAAATATGTATCAACTCATCAGTCTTAGAGCTTGCATGACTTTACCAGTAATATGTAACTAAAAGGGGCTGGATAATTGGAGAGAGGGAGAGACAGGAATTACTGAGGAGAATTTCTTTAGCACAAGCTCTTCTGTAAGTTCTACCCATATCTTCCCCATGGGACATATAGGTACTGTCTACTACTCAAATCTAAGTTTAAAAGGGTTGGTTTTAACAGGATCATTCAAAGAACATTATTTAACCTGCAGAGTCTGGGGTCTGACCTCTACTCCAGGAAACCTGGAAAGTAGCACTCAATGGCCTAATGAGATTCTTGGGAGTTAGAGTTAAGATGAGACCTGACAGTATTTCATAGGTGGTCAAAGAATGCAATGTGAGTTTTCTTTGAACAGGGAGTCAGGGAAGAGTTGGTGATTGCCGTGTCAAATTCTTTTCACAAATGCAATAGAATCAAACATTTAATCATCTGAGAAGTGGCCTGCTGGAGATCCAGGAACCAAGGATTAAGTGAACTCTGCTTCACTCAACTATTATTTGTAGCAATTTTCAAATTATCTTTAATACTCTCATACTTATAATCACTTAAAAAAATTTTTAAAGTGTATCTTGGCAATGGCTTAAGAAAGCCTATCATTTTTATTTCTTCTTCACAATGTTAAACTCACTTTCTCTTGTCTGAATTGGTTCTTTTGTCTCACAGTGGGTCCTTTTCATTTCATTGTACATCCTGCAAATTTCTACTAAAATAATCTACTCTGAAAAATTGCCACTTGCATTTTAAACACATAAAACAAGTTATATTTATGCCATTTATTTCCATGCATGCATCCAATATTATTTTTAACTTTTCACTTTGCATTCTACTTGATTATGAATTGAGATCAATTATGTAGAACAGTGTTCTGCTGTAGGGAATGTTATATGCTACAAGGTGATTTGGTGAACATTTTGTTTGCTAAGGTTGTTAGATGTTATGCACACAATGCAGAATTGTCTCAAACACTGCCTAAATTTCCAACGTTCCAATAATCAATCATATGGCTGGAACCCACATTTAGCATTATTTAACCTTCCAGCCTAATTCAATTGTATACTCAAGTGAAACTCTTTTAACATACTTTTACTGTGCTTCAAATTCCCAGAAAAGAAACTATGTGTAAACTGAGGGAAGGTTTATTTTTATTTCATAGTATAAGTTCATGTTAATAAATCTTCAGCATAATAAAAAGATATTATAAAAATGTAGTAAATAATTTTATGTGTGATTTTTGATAGGTTAATTTAATAAAAATTCTGTTACTATGTGAAATGCAACATATTTAAAATGCAATTTTGATTTTTAAATGAGCAATTATAACTTTTTAGAACCTTATTGTGTTTTGTGTTGATAAAAGTAGCATGTTTTGTTTTAAGTATAGCACAATTTAATTATTGAAAAATAGGCATTCTGTTACTATGTGAAATGCAACATATTTAAAATGCAATTTTGATTTTTAAATGAGCAATTATAACTTTTTAGAACCTTATTGTGTTTTGTGTTGATAAAAGTAGCATGTTTTGTTTTAAGTATAGCACAATTTAATTATTGAAAAATAGGCCGGGTGCACTGGCTCACGCCTGTGATCCCAGCTCTTTGTGAGGCCGAGACAGAAGCATCATGAGGTCTGGAGATCGAGACCATCCTGGCTAACACAGTGAAACCCCATCTCTACTAAAAATACAAAAAAAATTAGCCAGGCATGGTGGCAGATGCCTGTAGTCCCAGCTACTTGGGAGGCTGAGGCAGGAGAATGGCGTGAACCCAGGAGGCAGAGCTTGGAGTGAGCAGAGATCCTGCCACTGCACTCCAGCCTGGGAGACAGAGAGAGACTCTGTCTCAAAAAATAAAATAAAATAAAATAAAGGGAGGCAGCATGCCTTATTGGTGAAGCACTGAAATCTTGGAGTCAGACTGATGTAAACTGTTTTTGCTTTTCCCACCATACTTTCATAAATGACATAAAATAGATAATTTAATACCATTTTTAAATAAATGAGGCAAACATTATAGACATTTGAGGAAAATATTTGGTATAAAACAAAGAAAAACAGCTAATAGAATAAAAATAATTTGGGGAAGATAGAGACAAGGAAGGAATGAGAAAACATACAATCATATTCCTGAGAGAAAGGATAATAATATAATATCCATAATATAGGAATAACATGATGTAACAAATGACCTTAAAAAGAATAACAGGCCGGGTGCGGTCGCTCACACCTGTAATCCCAGCACTTTGGGAGGCCGAGGCAGGTGGATCACCTGAGGTCAGAAGTTTGAGACCAGCCTAGCTAACACAGTGAAACTACGTTCCTACTAAAAATACAAAAATTAGCTGGGTGTGGTGGCAGCTGCCTGTAATCCCAGCTGCTCGGGAGACTGAGGCAAAAGAATTGCTTGACCCTAATAGGCGAGGTTGCAGTGAGCTGAGATAGTGATCGCCATTGCACTCCAGCCTGGGAGACAAGAGCGAAACTCCGTCAAAAAAAAAAAAAAAAAAAGGAATAACAATGAGATTCAGAAAGTTAAAATATGCTAGTGAATAAAAAAAAGAAAATAGATAAAGAGAAACTTAAAGCTAAATAACATAGGAGAAACTTGGGGGGATGAAGTTATAAAAAGTTTACATTAACTAGAGTAAAATTTTCAAAAGATAAAAATAGAGAAATAAACTAATCAAGAAAAAAGAAGACAATTATTACTTCGGGAAAAACAAAATAATGAATACGAAATTAAGTGGTGTAATAGAACTCTACATGGCTTAGCTGTCAGTAACTTCAATATTTATATAACTATAAACTCAAAATTTTGATTTAACTAAAAATTATTTTACAAATACATTAATTGTGTAAGATGGGGGAAATTTGCAATATTCTTGCAGTCAATAATGAGAAATCAAAAGCCATGCCTAAAATTGAAAAAAAAAAATATATATATATAGGTAGCTCTATAAAAGTGTTACTCAGAAAAAATGGTAGTAAATTCTCAATAGTAAGTAAACCGTTTGAAATGAGATCCTTTTGAGGATGAAAAAATGATTGAGTAAAAGCTACTAGTTTTTATACAAATTTTGGGGAAATGTTTAAAATTTAACCTGTTTATAATTTTATAAAAGTATTTATTTTCTATTGCTGCATTTTATTTTAAAAAACAAAAGAACTTAACATTGCTTAGAATCTTGCACATAGTTATTAGTAAGATTTCTAAAGTATTTACATATTATTTGGATACATATAATACAAATATATATAATGTAAATGTAATGTATATATAATTCATATATATATATAATGACACCAACACATTGTAGGCCATAAAGACTTTGATTACTTTGTGGCTTGGTTAAAATTATGGTTATGCTTTACACTATACTTAACAATTATATTTAAGAAATCCTTTGAACGGAGGATGACATACACAAGAAATTTGCAAAACAGGATTTACTAGGTAAACAAAAACAGTGTGGTTTCAAAGATGAGAGGAATTAAAGACTATTTGTTACCAATAAATAAAACTTACATAAAATCTAAATTTTCACTGTCATTTTTCTAAAAGCTACTTCCATGTGTCTATTTTAAAAATGCTAAACATTATCTTACATGTTTCAGATGTGGTATAATTTTTCCTCTGTTACTCTTTTTTAAAAATTATTTAATGCTCATGAGTATAACTAGAAAAGCTGACATTATAGATTGGGGATTGGGGATGGTTATCTGAATGTATTGGAGAACTATAAATGTAAGCAACACATTTGGGGGTGAGATTTATGACAGAAGAGAGGCAGCAAACTGCCTGACATTCAACACTGATTTTCTATGTATTTACTGATTTGCAAGAAGCAACTGAAAGTTCAAGACTGATCAGAACTTTGAGAATCCCTAAGATACACTTAGGAAATAAAAATAACATTTGGGGGTTCATCACAATGGAAAGGACTTTGGTAATATTTCGGAATTTTAGTGTGGATCCTTTAGTGTGGTAGTCAGTACGTTAAAACTACAAATGTAACTGCACTCACATAGCCTAGAAATAAGATAACCTGGTCAATGTCTTATATTTTTGTGCTCTTCCTCTAGTTTAATCGCATACTGAAACTAAAGTTTATCTTCTCTGGAGGAGAGCAGTGTTACATCAAATTAATCTTGTCAACCAAGAGATATGAATTAATCATGTGTACTAGGTTGTCTTTGTGCATATGTGGGTAGTGATTGGGACTTCCAAGAGGCTTCTCTTGTTGGTGTAGTTCTATCTTATGTTCTGTTGATCATTCCATTACTTGTATTTGTTTTCTGAATATTCATCAGGCTGTGCACTTATGACTTTGCACTTTTCATATGTGTGCGATATTATAATAACTGTTTTAAAAGAAATGCAATTTAAAATTTCAAGACATTTTTATGTCTTCCAAGGTATGTATATTTGTATGTTTCTAACAGGAAGCTATATTTATTAGGATATTGCTCAGAAATGTATTTTTGATTTGATTTTTTGTCATATGAAGAATAATTTGATTTGTAACCATTTACCCTGATGTATTTATACCTAGTAGGATATAAGACTTGTGTTTTTATAGAGCTAAAAGAGTCTTTATATTCTTCATGCAATTAAGAAAAATTTACAGGTTAGATTAATTTTAAAACAAAAAAGACAAAATTTTATTTTCACTATGCATTTTAATTTACACATTTTGTTACAGGATATTTAGGATGTCACTTCAACAACTGGAAACCTCTGTGGCTGGTGGTGCCTCTGTTTGGGATTTGCTTGTACCTGCTGGGCTATTTCCGCCCACAAGGCCTGGCAGGCTGTGCTTGGCTGGTGTTACTGGCTGGATCTCATGCTTGCCAAGGGTGAGCCAGGGATGGAGCAGCAAGGGGTGTGTGAGCGAGTGAGTACAGGGTCAGGGCACTGTGCACGGCCAGGCACACTGGCTGTGGCAGAGAAGGCAGCTCCAGGTGCTGGCACAGTCACTGGCTCCATGTGAGGCTGCAGCTGGACCAGATTTGCCACAAGTGGCTTCCACTGTGAGCACCAGCATCTGGTCTGGACAAGGGGCACACAGTGGTGCCCAAAAGCTTGGAAATTCCAGGAACCACAGAGCCCCAAAGAGGTTGTCACAGACCTGGCTCAGGGACCCCCAAGGTCTGGGCTTGCAGAAGAGCTGCAGCTCCTCTCTCCTCCTCATGGCCTGCATCATAGCAAGTGAGCAGGGTGTGAGTGTTTCATCCCTGTTTGTGTACATCTCCTTCAGTCCTGCCATTCTGTGTGTCCTGAGTTCTTGTCTTGTGTCCAGGAAGAACGAGGTACACAGAGAAGTTGGGGGTGAACAAGGTGGAGAGGAGCTTCACTGAGCAACAGAACAGCTCTCAGGAGACTTGAAGTGGCTAGCTCCTTCCTGCAGCTGGTAGTCCCCAAGTCTGTGTGTCTGACTGAGTCTAGGGATTTTATGAGCTCAGAAGGGATTGGCCCATGGATGGCCATGGGCAGGCCTGGAAAAAGCACCATAAATTCTCACTCCAGCCCCCAATTCCACTCTGAACTGGCAGCCTGGCCTCTAGGCTTCAGGTGGTCCCTGGCTTGAAGGTGAGGTTTCACTGGACCCACTCCCTTCTGCCCAGGAACCTGTCTGCCTCCTGCCAACAACATGCTGTCCACAGTGCCCAGGCTCTTTGTGCAGAAAGGTGCCTGGAAGCCTGGACTGAGCTGCCCTTAGCAGCCCCAGGCCTCCCTCCCATGCACATTGGTGCCCAAAGTCTGGAGGAGACAGAGGTGGCAGACGGCTGGTGTGTCAGCACCACCACAAGGGCATGTGCACCCAGCCAGATTGCAACAGTGCCCAGACTTGGCCACAACTTTGCTCCAAAATCAGAATGGAGCCGAGAGTGAGGAGAGGCCAGGGAGCCGGAGTAGGCACTTCAAAGCCTGCAAGGGCTGGGCAGTGTTGGGGGAGAGTTCCTGGGCCCCCAAGAGCACAGGAAGGCCAGGTTGTGGAGCTGCAGCTGGGGGACTGCAGCTGTGCCCAGGAGCACAGGGCTTCCACCCCTCCAACTCAGTAGAGGCTGGGGCTCCTGCCTTTCCTGGCCCCTGCCGGTTCTGCGGAGCACACAGCCCTGGCTATGCCTCCCCTGCTGCAGCTGGTGTCTTCACAGCTGCTGTTCCAGGTGGGCTGCCACAGCCATCAACTTGAAACTGTTTCTGTCTTTAAAAAATGTATTGAATAACCTCCATTATGCTTCAAGATTCCCTTTGTCAAAGCAAAAAGCTAAACAGGCAAGGAAGACTTTATGTAAACCTATTTTAATAAAGGGAGAGACAAACAGATAAGTTTGTTCAAGATCCCTTCAGGAGGACTCTTCCAGTATCCTATGTATTATGAAGGTTTCCATCTGTGGCTACTTGCGAATATTTATTATTTCTAGTCGTTTTTAGAAATACTTTTTCCACTGCTTTCTGATGGTCTTCTCTCTACCACTGGGTATTTCCTCTTAGACAAGTAAAGTTCAGTATTTTCCCAAACACCTAAGGGAACCATCTGCTCTCTTTCTATGTACTTCTACCTTCTTTGTTCTTATGCCCCACAAATTCTAGCTTCCTTGGTCTCCAATAACTTTTCAACTTGTCAATGTTCCTGGGCTCTGTTTGTGTTTTCCTTTTCTTTACTGCTCTGTAGAAATTAGCTACTAATTTCTAAGCCGAAGCAATCATCAGGTTCCTCTCATTTGTTTCTGTTGCCTCAAGGATCATAGGAGTGTGCTGCCTATTATCCAATGCCCCCAAATCATTCTTTAATATATTATTTATGATTATTGTATTTCTGGTTTTTTCTACTATGAAGAAAAACATCTGACATGCTTTTTCCCTCTCAATTATTTTTAGCTACAATTAAAAGCTCATGATAAATTGAATGCAAAGAGGATTATTTATTACAGTGACAGTGTTTTGGAATTATACAATATTACATTTCTGAGTTTTTATTATTTGTAAACCATATTAAATAATGTAGTATTAATTTTGGGACATGTCTAGTGATTATAATACCTTAATGATAACGATGAGCACATCTAATGTTGTGCTTAGTAGTAATAGAACAAAGAACAAAACATCTAATATTTGTTTCTTTAGATATCAAGTATATATTTGCATGTTTGGATTCAACCTCCCAGAAGAGACAAGAGACAAGGCAAGTGATAGACTCTTGGTTGAGCTTCAAAGTGGCCTCTCTATGTTATAAAATGTAAACTCTTATTGAAGTACCTTACAGCTTTTCCTCCAACAGTAGTTGAATGCTTTTAGAGCAATTTTAAAAAAAAATTCTGTCTCTTTAAAATACAATATTTAAATTTAAATACTTGAAATAGCTTTTTGTGACATATATCATCACATATTGCTGCCATTTAAATTGGAAACCAGTGATATACATGCATGTTCTTGAAGTTTTATGTTTGCCGTGTTAAAAATTATATGAAAAATCAAAACCACTATTTTTAAAAAATCTTATGTAACAGGTACAAAAAGTACCTGTTCTGAATCTGTTCTATGTTATGCAAAAGTAAACCTGAAGTTAAAAGTTTAGAAAATTTAAAATATAATAAAATAAAATAAACAAAAATTATAATTATTTAAAAATTTGTAAAATTATTGTTGATGTATTAGTAATTGAATTAATGTATAGTGAAGTAATCTATTTAGTTGAGAGAGACTTGAAAAAAATAAACAAGCAGGTATTTTAACTGTCAATCATCATTTTATAATGAAGAGATTATCTACCTTCAAAAAAATACCCAGTTAAAATTCTGCTGTCAAATAATATGCAAACTATCAGCTCACTTATTGAGTACTTACAAGTAATTGCCTTCTTTCTTTAGCCAACACATATGGGGTTGAAGATTTTTCAGACAAAATATTTCTTAGGTATATTTATGTGTTGGGGAGCACGGTGGTGTTTAAGATTGCAAAGAGAATTTGTGTTCAGTTTGTATGCATTATTTCTAAAGGACTTCAAAGCATCAGTCATTTTTGATTATTTATATTGTACCCATTACCTCCTAATTTCTCTTTCCCACTTTTCTTTCTTTGCTACCCCATAAATCTGTCCTCTTACATAATACTCATTTTTCACTTAAAGCATTATCAGGATGTTCCTTTTTCCTCTATTCAAGTAGTACTTCTACAAAGTATTCCTAAGGCCTTCTGCTTATTATAGACTAAGCTGTCTCAGGGTTCTCTATGTTCCCAACTTACTAGCATAATTTTCCATTGCTACAGCTTCCAGCACTTTAAAAACACAGAAAACACAATGACATTAACTGTTACTTGAGAAAATCCAAGTATCCAAAATGGCAATGCATTACAAAAGTTAGCTTAGCTACAGACTATTACCCTGACCCCAGTAAACCACAATAACCTTAAAGTCAGTTTATGAAGCCATTGCTCCTTTGGGCAGATTTTTAAAGTAATCACACTAAAAAATCTATATAAATTAATAAACAGATTGAAATAAGTTATTTATTTACATTAATACATATGCATATAAGTGAATGGGAAATGTATGTTACCTGCTCAGGCATCCTTTCTATGAATTCAGTTGTATATAGCAAATAAAACTATGTAAGTAATCACATAGTTCTCCCCATCCATGGTTTCATTTTCTTTGGTTTCACTTGCCAATAGTCAATGAGAAGGGTGAGTGCACCAGAATAAGACATTTTGAGAGACAGAGAGTGATATCATGTTCACATAACTTTTACTGCAGGATTTTGTTAGAATTGTTCTATTTTATTATTAGATATTATTAATTTCTAACTGTACCTAATCTATAAATTATACTTTTTCATAGCTATGTATGTATAGTAGTTCCTCCTTATCCGCATTTTGCCTTTTGTGGTTTTAGCTACTCATGGTCAACTGCAGCCCCAAAATATTAAATGAAAATTATCAGATATAAAAAATGTCTATGTTTTAAATTGTGTGCCATTCTGAGCAGAGTGATGAAATCTCTCTCTGTAAAAGGGAATCCACACTGCCTACATTACCTGCTTGTTTTTCACTTAGCAGCTGCCTCAGTTATCAGATCAAAAAATATAGTATATATAGTTTATATATATGTGTATATATATGTGTGTGTGTGTATATATATATATATATATATATATATATATATATATATACAGTACTAAATGTAGTATATATAAATATCAAGTGATGATTGTTGTTTTTTCACTTTTAAGGTGGGGAGTACTAGTGCTCATTAACTTAGCCCATGTACTACAGTGAGAACTTGCCTCCTATTATTGTGTTTAAGGCATATTTAAATATCTTGACGGAGCTAATGTTAATAATACATGTCACTTACATTTGCCAGACAATAATTGCTGTACATGTAATTTATTCATATAATATTTGTAAAAATTACTTGAGGTAAATCACTATTATTACTTTCATTGTACAAATAAGAATATTGAAGTGTGTATTATTTAAAATTTAGTTTTATCTCTTGACATTTTGATTTTGTTTCTCTAAAAATGTACTTTCCAACACGGTAAGCACAAGTTACTTTAGCACTTGAGGACTTAAAATGTGACTGACTAAATCAAGATTTTCTCTAAATGTAAAAACCACAGCAGATTTCAAAGATTTAGTATTAAAAGTCTAATTTTTACATCAGCTACATATTTAAATGAAAATGTGAATATATTTTCTATAATATATTAAATATGCATTTTAATAAAATGTTCTTAAAATTTATTTAACTTTTTTTACTTATTGTTAAAATGTGGACTTAGACTTAAAATTGCATGTCTGACTTGCCTTTCTGGCTAGTATTATATTTCTATTGGATAAGAAAGCTATAGATATTTCAAAATACATTTTTAATGTATCAGAACATATGACAAAATAATTCATTTCCATTTTTCATCACACTTCTGTGTTCCATTTACCTTCTACCTATGCTACAAACTCATTTCATTGCATTTATATATTTACCATCAGTAGGGGTTGTGCTGTAAACTTTCATTACCTTATTACCCTGCCTGACTCCTGCTTTTAGAAGCTGGAAACCCTGAGGCACTGGCAGGCATTTCTCTGAGCTCTCTTGTCTTTCGCATTTGGCAGCTGAGACCCCAGAGTCCTTTCTATGGTTTCTTCAGGTTCTCTCTCAGCTGACTCTTCTGATGAAAGCCTTTGGAATACTTACCTGGGAAACTCAGTGATGATCTGCGAGAATGTCAACCTCCTCCTTCACTGGCATGAGGAATTCAATGAAATCTGGCTGGTTTCTCCTTTCTGTCATCTGTGTAAGGGACTCATTTTCATCTCACCATCTCACCATGTAAAGACAAATGAAATTCAAATATTTTCTGTGGAGGGATTTTTATTTTCCTGACATTTAGTTCATTATGATTTATTTGTTTTTCAGCTTTCTAACAGGTTTTCAAAAACTGCTATTTTGTAGCTTTTCTGGCTTTTGAAAATTTTGTTTTTAATTAGCATAAGATTGATGATCTCATGCTGCTTTCTATATCCTGACTGGCAACAAATGTTCACATGTTTATAATTGTGTAGGATATGTATCAATTTGGCCTAAACATTTTAATTGATTTTTTTTGGATTGTAATAAAGAAAATACCGTATCTTGGACAGTGGTATTTTAAATGTTAGCCTTACAACCCAGAAAAAATGGCAAAACTTGACATCAAATCAAAGTGATAACATGAATTTTAGATACACACATGGTTGAGTCAGACAGAGCTGGATCTAAAGTACCAATCAGCTTATTTCTGTTAATGAAACCCAGAAATCGAGATCTAAGTATTGCAGATCTTACTTTCCTTATCTTAATGTTGTATGTAAGGGTAGCACTTGACTCATAGGGTGATTATGAAACAAAAATAATAATTAATGTAAAGTTCTTATAAAAGTATTAATTGCATATATAACATTTTACATAGACAGACCCAACACACATGAATAAACACACATAAAAAGTAACAATATTTGATTATGTAAATCCTAAATGAATAGGAATTCTGAATTGCATTTGTTACATAGTACTGCACCTAGAAGAAGGAATGAATTCACATAAGCTGCTGTGTGCAAGGATTTGAAGTTGAAGGCAGAAAGGTACTTAGCTGTGATAGACTGAGGTCTAGTTTATTCAGGATTCTACAGGTCTTTAATTTGTTATGATGGTGATGTGGGTGAGTGGCGATGGATGGTGATGGGTAAGCTTCCTTAAAGGAGCATATAAAAGTGAGAGGTAGTATGTATGGTTTAACATTTTATATTTAATATCAAAATATAATTTTTCATTTTGAAAATAAAGCATAGATCTATTCATATTTTATAATGAAATATAGAAAATTAAACTCCCCTGATTATTTTGTGTAGTGAAGATTATCAGAGAAACATTCTTTTTTTGGAAATCCGAGTAGCAAATCTGTGAAGTTTGGTATGGGTTGCAGCTATCAGAATTTCCTTGACGTGTAAACACTTTAATAGTTATTAGAGTGTGGTATAATATTAAAGAATTGAGAAAATTCAATCATGGGACAGTTATTAATTTTTTTTATCATATTGAAAAAAATCACATGTAAAATTTAGATGACCAGAAAATAAGAATAAGAATTCTTTTGAGGGGTGGGGGCAGAAATTCCTATTCCTACTGCTACAAAGACTTGGATTCCTCTTTTGTGACAAAAAATTATTTCAGCTGTTCTTGATTAATATACTTGAATCACTTACAGAGTCACATAGTGAAAAGAACTCACACAATTGCTCATGGTATTCTTATTTCAGGCTCTTATAAAGTTGAAGAATATGGTACAACAGGAAAATGAAAATGAAAGCTAACAATGAGAACACAAGAGCAATCCAGTAGCAGCTCCCTAATGTTTTCTCAGCTGCATGGTACACTTCAGCTTTGAGTTAATTTAGGACAAACTTTACAGAAGGGTTTTTGAGGTCCGCACTGGCCATATAGTTGAACTAGACTGCATAATGGGTTAAACCAGGAATGAGCCATTAATTTTAATCCATACATCCCTCAAAAAGTTAAGCTATACTCAGTTATGTTCAAACTTCAGGCTTTAAACAAAATATTATCAACCATGATGTCCATGATATCTTTATCCTGGCCAAGTGTCATTACCAGACTTCTAGATGTCTGGAGACAAACACAGGGTTGTACCAGTCCATCTGTAAGACAATTCTATCTCACACAAAATTCGACTATGTTTTCAGGTGATTCACAAACATATTTTAGGTCATCTGTTCTTTAGTAAAACGTGGCTCTCTGCTGAACCTACTCTTTATCTTGCAGTCCTTTAAAGGAGAAATATTCTGAGACACAGAATTTCTGAAATTCATGATCAAGATACGGGTGTCACTGTCTCAGTGGCCTTGCATATGCAATCTTAACATTCGGAAAAACCATCCTTCAATCATAAATAGTGATCTTTTGAATATTATCTCCACTTAAGGACCTCCAAATCATAAGTAGGACTGATGTCACAAGCACATTTCTTACCAAGAAGATAGTGTACCTATGGGACATTGCCTAATTTATACTGAAGTGAAAAAAGCACGTGAGTTCAAACATGTTCCTCATTACAAGAGAAAGAAAATGGAAAGAGATGAAGAAGATGCCAATTCAAATTATTAAAAACAAAATATGTAACTTAGAGAAAAAGGAAGTAATATATAAGAATTGAAATAAAGAAAACTAAAAAACTAAAAGTATTACTAGCAAGTGAGAAAAAAAGAAATGTGGACTAGATAATTAAAAAGCCACGTTTGGTAGATGACTTTAGGTAAAACTCATATAAACTAAGCTTATTTTCCTCAAATAATTCATAAAACAAGCAAAACTATCAAATATCCTGTGAAAATTATACTAAATTTCCCCAGGAAAAGTAATTATGGGAAAATGCTCAAAACAATATTGAAAAAGAGGTGTAATATACAATGGGGGAATCTTGTCATGGCATATATGAAAACATTTTGTGATGTTGTAATATTGAAAGCATTTTGGTTTTGTACAAAAAGCTGATAGATTTATGAAAGATAACACTTTTGCAAGGACACTATTATATATCTACCAATACTTAAAAAATGCAAATTTACAATAACCCCACAGCTTCATTCTTATAAATACTAGGAAATCTGGTGGTCAAATGGAGAGGATCCTGTGAATGTTTTGGAATTTTTTTTTTTTAAGTGCGTGCATGAGAAGCCCAAGCAAGAATCCTCTCAAGTGAATTTGTTATGTTTTCGTTATAGGTGGAGCTGTTCTGACACTTGAGTGAGTTGCTTAGGTCATAAATGTATATTAGTGGGAAAAAAGCACCTGAAAGGATTTAAAAAATCCTACAATAGAACAACATTCACAGAATACTAATCTTTATACAAAATATACATGAAGTTCTAGGACGGGTAGCATCCTACTATACCATTCAAGTAAAAGTGAATTTAACATATACATCAACACAGTTAACCAAGCCAAATGAATATTGAGTTATTTATCAAATATAATAATTTTCGCAGGAACTATATTATTTTGGTGTAATATGCTAGAATAGATGATGATCATATCAGTTACACTATTTTAATTGTAGAGGTCTTTAAAATTGTTTAGTTCAATTAATAATTAAAAAAAGATATTGAGCCAAACCATTGCCTAAGCTATATGGTTGGTAGGGCAAATAGCTGATGTCATGTCATCGGACTTATATCAAATGTGAGATTTTATCTCAATTCCTCCAACAGCATAATCTATGAATACCTTATTTTCTTCCTTTTATGAAAATATTGGTGTCAGCTGAAAATATGCATTGATCTATAATACCAAAAATATTTTTGGAGAAAACTCAACAACAAAACTGCAGCCAATCTTTTTTTTTTTTTTTAATCAAGTGCTTGAGTTGGATAACATTTAGGCAATTTGGAAAGCTGCATTAAGTGTTTTAGGGTTTATGAGTCCCACACTAATGCTGTAACACGTCAAATAGCATTTCTGTAACCTGGAATAACTGATCAGACTGCCCAAATTGAGATATATTCCTCACAGGCCCAGAAGAAGATGTTTTAAGGTGTTCTAAAATTTCACTCTTTTTAAGTATGTAGCAATTTTCTGCGTCATTTTCTATTTTTGGTAGAGACAAATATGAAGGCAGTTTAGTAGTGGTAGTAGTAGTAAAAGTATTAGTATTTAGTAAAAAGAAGCAGAGTTTTTGTTTCAAGTTATTACATTATTAATATAATAATGTAGTTTTCATTTTCTTATAGAAGTCACTTGTAAATAGTATATTTTACATATAGTTTACTCTTAGTGTTCTCCCTGGAAATCAATAATACCTTCATTAATGCATAAAATTTTTATTCTCATTTATATTGATTCTACCTAATATATAGTCATCTGTTTCATATATAATATTTTAAAGAATATACATATTGCATATAAATTTGAAGCCCAAACTTTATGATTAAGATATACTTTGCTTATACATTTAATTTTATGCATATATTTATATTTATATAATTATGCATAAAGTTGCATATTTATATATATGTATCTATAAATCCCTGCTAATTAAAGATCCAAATTTGTTACATTATTGCTATTCGAGTAACATGTTTAGTTGTTTTTACATGATAGCTATTTATTCAATCAGTTAACATCATGTATGCTTAACAATAAATTAAATAAATATTAAGCGGGTAGGTAACACAAAATTGTAATAGTCTATTATATGTTTCAGAAATACCCACTTCTATAATTTCATTACCATCAGTTGCATACATAGCTTGTATTATAGAAAATTACTATCTTTCTGAAAATAACCCTTGCATGTCCCAAATTTCAAAAACATTAATATCTGGGTTTCAGCATGAACAAGGATGATGTGTGTGTATTATTAATTATGATGACTGTGAATAAATTAATAAAATTGTGTTAAATGGGAAGTATATACCTACTAACCAAAAGAATGTAAAGGATTCTTGAGTATTGAAACCTAATAGGATTGGATAAACAGAATTTGCATAATGTAGCCCAAGTAATTCACCGAAAAAAAACTGCGGGGGTGCTGCACAGCAGGGCCCTACATGGGCAGCCACTAGGGAACCCAACCAGCAACAGGCTACCCAAGTTATCTAGACCCATCACTCAGCTTTCTCCAAAAAACTAAAGGTCTTATTAGGCTCTGCACATTACAGGAAACTTACCAAGCTAACTGAATGAATCAATTTAGTCTTTCATTCAAACTGAATGAATGAAAACGAAATATAAATAAACATCAAAGTTTTAACTTTTAAAAAGGCAGTAATTTATGTTTAATTTTTTATTCATGTAGATTTGAAGCATCTGGACTATCATTTAGGTAAATAAATATTAGCTGTGTAAATGAACCAACAAAATACTGAGCAACTAATATTGTAGACATAGTACTAATTCAGAAATTAGAGGAAAATATTTAAAATATATCTAATAGATTTGGCAATACTAAGAAAGTGCACACATAATAAAGGTTTTTGAAATCTAAAAATATGATAGCTACAATAAAAATGGAAATGTTTAGCAAGAGAATTAAAATGGCTAAAAGACGAATTAACAATAGGAAGGGAAGTTGAAGCCTCTTTCTGATATACATACATATGACTTTTAGAATATTTGAGATTAAACTGGTGAAAGAGATCCAGCACCACTATTTTGAAGGTCATCTAAACTCCACGTAACATCACTAATGAGTTCTTCATTGCCAAGAGAAGAACCATTCTGAGTTGCATCTCCATATTCTCATATTAGAGTCTGGTACCAAAAATATTGGTTTCCTGGGAAATAGACACTTAGAATAAAATGCATGCAAAAAAATTGATTGAGGCATTTCCTTAAAATACACAAGATTAGGCAGATGAAAAAAACTGACTTGAAACTTGGTGGCAAATGAACCCTTGTATGATCCAGTGGGGGCTACAGAGGTAAGATAGCAATTCAGAGTTGTATCAAAATGAGGTAGTACTCCCATGCTACATTGCCTAGGGTCTATGCCCAGTGGTGTACTGTTAAATCTTATATTCAAAAGAAACAAAAAGAAAAAAAAAGCTGTGATTTGCATGGCTGATTTTAAGCTATCAACAAGTTAGCAACTGGTTAGCCAAATTTCTCAATATTTAAGAAGTTGGTATTCTTGGTCATCAGGAGCTTGCTCCAGCACACCACTGGGCCTAATCTTCAGGGAGGTAGACCCTTGTGGCCTGGGGCAAATCCCAGTGAGGGTTGCAGTTGCCAGCCATCTGCCTGCAGTATTCTTAGCAGCTGGCAGATGGGCGTCTCAGCATTGAGGATGGAATCAGATTTTGTAGGCGTAGTCCCCACTACATTCTCAATTGCTTATCCTTCTGACAATTTGACAATCGTGAACTCTTTTAATATTTACATTGTTCTTGTAAGCTTTATTATCTCTGTTGAAAAGGAAACCATATGTAGACTTCACAACAGGCAGAATTCTATGTATGAATTATGGAAAATAACTTAAACAATAAATCTTAGACAACCAAATCTTTAGAAGCCATAAAAAGAAGATATTAAAGTAGGTCAGCTTATTGTAGTATGTTACTGTCATTACTGGAAGTTTTCAAGTAGTGACTATTTTGCAATTTTATGGAATATTTTCATGGATATTTGTGTGTAGAGCAGATAATTTCTAAGGTAACTACTGTGAAGCAAAGAAACACTACAATAATAGGCAAATGCTAGACTCTTTTTTATATCAATCATTCGACAAGGAAGGAAGAAAGGAAGCAAGGAAGGAAGCAAGGAAGGAAGGAAGGGAAAGAGGGAGGCAAATGTGCCCAATAATCCCATAGACAGTTGTTTTTAGATAAACATAGAAATGGATCCACCTGTTGTTAAAGATCGATATTTGTATTTGTTTTATCTGAGCTCCTTCCTCAGGAAAGGACATTCACACTTCTCCCAAAAGTATTAAAGAACTGAAACTCACCAGATCACCACACCAGATGCCTCCTTGCTCCTCCCTAGTTCCTGTTTTCTTACACATTGTTACATTTCTTCCCTGCTATAAAACCCCCTAGTTTTAGTCAGGGAGATGGGTTTGAGACTCAGCTCCCATCTCCTCCGCTGCAGCATCCTATTAAAGCCTACTTCCTGGCAATACTTGTCATCTCAATGATTGACGTTCCGTGTGATGAGCGACAGAACCTAACCCAAAACCTTGATTTTTCAGTAGCAGAAAGAAGGAAGGGAAGGAGGGAGGGACAGAGGAAGGGAGAAGAGAAGAAAGGAAGAAAAAGATAAAGAAATAAAGATAAAAATTTAAAAAACCATTATTTGTACTTAATTTAGCTGGATGGTAAGCATGAAACAAATGTCGAAGCCTGATTCTTCTGTAATAAGCCAAACATTGGTTTTATATGAAAATCTGATTGGTTTGTACTTTCCACTTTCTTAGAACATGATTATTATATAGGATTATAGTGCTTTTATGATGAAATTATATATGTAAATATTTAGTACACTTATGATTTACTTCAAGGGAATTCAAGTTTATCTAATTTATTTCTCAAAGTCATGAGACCCATTAAGAACTGGTAAATGGATCTTGAATGTGAAGGAGTCTTTAAATATTATGTGCATGATAAAAGTTTTATCAGAAATACTTATATATCTTAGACAAATTTCTAAGATAAATATTTCAAATGTTCTTTTCTCCATAAAACCTTTAAATTTACACATAACATATATGTTATTTGTCAAATTTTATTTAGTATGAAACATAATTTTGTGATGAGAAAATTTTAATTAAAATGTATAATGCAATAATTATGTATGTAGATATGAAATTGTTTCTTTAAAATAATTTTGAAAATTAGAACAATCGTGAGAGGTATACAGCTAATTATTTGCTAATGAATGGCTCTGCATTTATTGTCAATAAGCACCATGGCAATAAAAGCAAAGCAACTAAGCAAATAAACTCACTATTGTTATTAAAGTGTTTAAAAAATTCCAGACATTAAGACAAATTACAAATACACTTGTTGATAAGTAAACAAATGTTTCAGAGAAGAAATTGTAAAAATGGTCAAGAATTTCTACAGGTGTAACCCTATCAATAATCAGTGAAAAAATAACAAAAATTAAAAAATTAGCGAATAGTTAGCTATATATTTAGTAATAAATAAAAGATGAATTAACCAATTCATGATACTTCAAAATACAAACAAAATAAATCTTAAAAAATCATTATCTTGCAATCATAATTTACTGTCAGGCATTTTTAAAAAATTATTTCAGAGTTTCCAATAATAAAATATAAATATTATATCCTTCTAAAGCAAATTTTAAAAACACCTTTAATGATAATATGGCATAAATATATTTACTTAAATGCAATGAATATTAAGGGTAATCAGGTAAATCTAATGAATAAAGCTATTTGTTATTCTATACAATTTGAGAAATTTCTCCAGTTGCAACTGAAAATCACATATAATGAATGTTCTCTGACTGTGGATAGGATCTAGCTGATCCTCAAACTATGCAATTACTCACTATCTCTGAGAAATATATTTCTGTGATACGTTTGCTTGCCTTTTACTTATATAATTCTTATAGCTAGGAACATCAATTTTGTGAGAATGAAAACCTTTATTATTTTCTGAGTTACAGAGAAACTTTCTTTTCTTGTTTTCCTGTAGCCATAGAACACCTTTTAATTTAATGTAAGCATTTCCTCTATAAAGAGTTGTAAAAATAAAGCTCCTATAAATTATTCTAATGAGTTTAAATAAATAAGAATAAATTTTGCCTGCAATTATATTTTTCTTCTAAAATTGAATTAAGACCTTGGTTAAAAGCATAAATATGGGTTTTTCTCTTTATTAGCATTTTATGATTACTATGTCTCTTCTGTCGAAAAGAAGCACATCATGTTTACTTATTACACACAAATCTATTCTGCAATATATGTCTCACCTTAGAAATCATTATTATAAACGATAAATAAATATAGATTTTGAGTTGCTAATCTATATTAAGATAATTAGTAAAATATGGTAAAAAAGGATAACAATAGGACGTAAGTGTACTCTACGGTTTTCTATTTCTTTTGTGTGGAATCACAATAGAGTTAGGTCATTTGAAATTATCAACTTTAACCAATTATCGGGACATTAAACAACAAATAAAAGGTCATAGATTTTGGTAAATGAAGGAAAATGATAAGATTAGTCTCTCTTCAGTAAAGATGTTTTACACAGGCAAACTGAAGTAGAAAGCAGAAGAATCATATGCCAAATGTGATCAATATAGGTCATAAATCTATGTAATTATCAAACATTGCCAAATATTGGTGTATTCCCTTTTCTATTGAATTGTATAATAATTGCTTAATCTCTTCAATTTAATTTGTCTCCTTAGAAACACTGTGTACCCTACAATGCATTTATTCACCACCAATCAATATATTGTACTTAAAATAATCACTCCTCCATTGTTAAAAACTGTAAACACACCCCCACACACACACACAGAATATATAAATATTGAGCTTTTTTTTTTTTTTTTTTTTTTTTGAGACGGGAGTTTCGCTGTTATTGGCTAGGCTGGAGTGCAATGGCACGATCTCCACTCACAGCAACCTCCGCCTCCCGGGTTCAAGCCATTCTCCTGCCTCAGCCTCCGGAGTAGCTGGGATTACAGGCATGCGCCACCATGCGAGGCTAATTTTGTATTTTTAGTAGAGGTGGGGTTTCTCCATATTGGTCAGGCTGATCTCGAACTCCCGACCTCAGGTGATCTGCCCACCTCAGCCTCCCAAAGTGCTGGGATTACAGGCGTGAGCCACCACGGCCGGCCTAAATATTGAGTTTTTAAAGTATATTACAGTAGACGCATATGCTTACTACCAAGCATCTGCAGAATTTTAATTAAAAATATTTTCATTAATTTAAAACATTATTCATCTAACTAACTGGCAGTGTACATATGTTATTCAAATATTAAAAATGATAAACTTATTTCTGAGAGTATGGCAATGAAGATCAGAATTTAGTAAATACTTAATTTTTTAATTTAGTAGTTTTTTGTTTGTTTCAATTTCCTCTTCTCAGGAACTAGAGGACTGAGATACTATTACCTCAAAGAATTTTCAGTATTGCTCATAATGGAGAAAAATGTAATCAACTTATTGCTATATTGCATATAATGGGTATAATTTAGGGTGTAAAATACTAGTTACGGTAAGAACAGAAATTTTAAGGTTGGACACAGATTAATGAAAAGAGAAAAACTGAGATAAAAGTAGTCCTAGAAGTGGCATTCAGTGTTTCAATTATTCTGTTTCATGTTGAAAATAAACTATGTAGATGTTTATACATAAATTATTTAGACATAACAAATATGTATTTACTTGCTGTGAAGTGACTATATTAATCAAAATTAAAATTCACCCCAGTGCTAATATATTTTCAATTTCACATATATTAGTATAATGTAAAATATTGATTTTTATAGGAGAAAATTGGGGTTTCTTTTGGTATGCTTCTACTTCCTAAAACAGACTAATGTAAGATTCAGTTTGGTAATCAATATTTTATAATACTTGATGGGTGGGAAAAGAACATGCTATACATAGTAAGTATAAAGCTTTATGTTAAATTGCCTAAATGAGAACTAACTGTAAATTTTCCTAGACACTTATGGTACAAAATAAGAAACAGATGTTTTTTTTTTTTCCACAGAAAGCTTAAATGAGTTTAAATGTTGATTTGTCAACTAATCTTAAATGTTTTTTAAGAATTAAGTCAACTAATTTATGCCAACTCCTTGACTCACTCCAATGTTGTAGGACTTGATGTAGTCCACAGACATGTCGAAAACCCATGTATCATTTTCAGAATATCCCCAGGTTTTTAAAGAGTAGAAAGAAGCCAGGTTTTTTCACTCCTCAGTCTTCATGAAATATTAATAGATTTTACACTTGCTTCCCTGAGTGAAAACCTAAAGGTGTGTAGGTTTTCCTTGAAATGAGACCTAGTCCTCTAGGGAAGGAAAGGATAACAAAAATATTTATTTTCTAATTATGGTACCAGTCACTTTTATTTTCCTTGGAGAGGAATCTTTTGAATTGAAGGTAAAAAGAATAAATGTATTTCTGTACAGAATGTGTGTATCTCCCTGTTAGGTTATCCTTGCTTCTTTTTAATTTTTTCAGATTGTTCTAAATTCTCTGAGAAATACATTTTAAAAATTTTATACAGTATTATAGTAATGCACTAACACACACACACATATACACACAAAGACATAGTCAACCACTGAATCTATAAGAACTGAAATGTATATCTTTATAACACTCCTGACCTAGATTCTTATTTCTCAGATATAAGCAATCTTAATTGTTTTGTGTTTCATTGCTATTTTCTTCTGGGAATTCATGAATCACTTTTTCTTTGCATTTATAATTTATACTTCCACAATATTTAGGATATCTCTTGTTAAAGATAAATTGTACCAGACACTTGTTAAAAACGGCAAAACAGATTTAATTTGAGCAGCTGTAGTAGGAGGGATAGACTTCAACACAGAATTGAGCCCAACTGAATACTGCAAAAGGAGGTAGAAATGCAGAGCCAACCGACAGAGAAAAAATTACTAAAAGGAATATGATTAAACATCAAGCGTTGGAAGAAGAAGAAATTGATTAGATATCAAATAGGAGGGGAAGGAGATGGATTAGATGTCAAGAATGGAGAGATTCTCACTAAACTAGACTCAGGAGGCCAATGATGAGACCTAGTAGGGAAAGGGGTTCAAAGGAATCTGAGTCAAGTATGCTAAAGTAGGGAACCTTTGTAACTTACTCCCCTTGTTCAAGGAAAGAAGATACATAGATCTCCTTCTCATTAAATTTGTTAATGAAGGATCTACTGAATCTTTTGTTAGTAATTGGTGATGGTTGTTGAACTGTGTGACCAAGACATTTAATGAGAAGGATAACTATAAAGATAAACACAAAAACAAAACTTAGTGGCTAATTAATTCATATGCCCAACTTCATAGGCCTAACAGGTCCCAAGAAAAGTCCTAGAACCCCTCTTCTTTCCTCGGTGGTGTCAATATGACAGCAGTGATGAAATGAATTTCTTCATTCATCTCTCAAATATTTTGTGTGTTTTGTTTGTTTGTTTGTTTGTTTGTTTGTTTTCCTGAGATGGAGTTTCACTCTTGTTGCCCAGGCTGGAGTGCAATGGCATGATCTTGGCCCACTGAAACCTCTGCCTCCCAGTTCAAGTGATTCTCTTGCCTCAGCCACCCGAGTGGCTGGGATTACAGGTGCACGACACCACACCCAGCTAATTTTTGTATTTTTAGTAGAGATGGGGTTTCACCATGTAGGCCAGGCTGGTCTCAAACTCCTGACCTCATGATCCACCCTCCTCGGCCTCCCAAAGTGCTGGGATTACAGGCGTGAGCCACTGCGCCCGGCCAAATGTTTCTTATTATGACAAAAATGTCACTTAGATTGCTGTGGAAAATAGTGCAGTAGTCGCTTCAGATTATTGTGCAAGTTCCCCTTCTGCAGAAGGATCATACAGAGAGTGATGTGGTGATAGGGGACAGTTGGCTCGGTTTCTCCTAATTGGTGGGTCATCCTTTGGACAGCAGTAGTGATGTTGTCCAGGGACCAGGTAAATTGCTTCAGCAATTAGTTGATTATTCTGTTGTTGAGTCAAACTTTTCCAGGCAGGTAAAAGATGCCTTCAGATGGGATTCAAATGTGGTAAACCTCTCCCGAAAAGGTCGTGGATCCAGATCGTGTCTCATTCTATAAGTCCAGCTTTTTCCCATTCAGTGCTCTTTGACTCTGTGGCCATTATTTGGGCCATGCACATTTCTGTCATAATTTCCTCTGGGAATATGTTAAGGAAATTGCAATTGCAATTTATTGGCAAGGGGAAGTAATCCTACAGTGAGTCTCAGTGTCCCACAGAAAATCTAGAAGAGAAGTTCCATGATTTAGAGATTGCCTGGGGACTGCTGCTCTAGTACATCTCATTGGAGTAAACGTAGACACATAACTACAAATTTATAGGGTACCGACTTCCTGTTCAAAACTTAGTCAATAACATGAAAACACACTCTATTCTTTAATATGAATAAAAATATAATTTGCTAATGTTTCAAAGTTTTATTTCCTTTACTTTTAATGTCTGTTTCATATATCCCCAGATACTTTCTCTTCACTTTCAAGTATTCAATGGAAATTGCATTTGGGCTATACAAGTGTTAATTCTCATTTTACCAGAGCTTATAATAATATTTCACATTTTTGTCTATTTTTAAAAATTTGGGCTGGACACAGTGGCTCATTCCTGTAATCCTAGCGCTTTGGGAGGCCAAGGCGGGCAGATCATTTGAGGTCAGGAGTTTGAGACAAGTCTGGGCAACATGGGAAAAACCTTGCCTCTAATAAAAATACAAAAATTATCCAGGCCTGGTCTACTTGGGAGGCTGAGGCAGGAGAATGGCTTGAACCTAGGAGGTGGAGGTTGCAGTGAGCCAGGATCGTACCACTGCACTCCAGCCTGGGCGACAAAGTGAGACTCCATCTCAAAAACAAACAACAACAAAAAAGTTTGATTTTCTTCTTGGTACAGGAAAAGAATGTGTGAATGATCAAGGTTGCTCTAGGGAGTTTTAAAGAACAGTTTTTGTTTAGCCATTTTTGGAAAGGAGTTGGAATCTGTAAGAATTTCAAAGGAAGAGAAGCTGTCTATATTTTTTGTGTGTGTATTTTCTAGTTTATGAATCTTGGTCTATGAATTTCTATGTGCAAGTCAGATTAGAAGAAATATGACTGAAACTAGTAAAAGCCTATTTAATTATAGTTTATTTTAAAATTATTAAAAATTTCTCTTTGATAAGAATATATTTCAAGTATGTCAGAATTTTTGTTGCAATTCGAATACAGATAGACTATTGTTTGGTTTTAAAAGTTCAAGTACCCTTGTTGTCTTAATAAAATATAGTTTACCTTATACGAGTATTTCATATGAAATAACTTCCAATTATTTGTAGTACTTATTACAAACCTGCTCATTCCACACAATGTTCAAAGGGAGGAAAGTCAACATGAAAATGGATATTTATATATCTTAGCACAAGTGAAGTTGGTAAAAACTAATCAACAATTTGTTTTCTATGACTGAGCAGTGAAAGGTATATTTCTTTCTACAGTCTGCCTTTGACAATTACCTCTCATTGAAGTTTGATTTACTTTCTTGTAACTCTGTTTAATTCACTTTATTTTTTTATTTTTTCTCTTCCTATGTACTGTCTCAGATCCTTTCTTTACATCTCCATAGTATTTATAAATTATCATTGAACCATAACATCAGAAAATACCATATTCCATCCTCACAGAGTGGCATTTGTGTACCATTGTTTAACAATTGCTGAAATTATCTTTTTTCTCCCACTCTAAACATTTTCATTGTGAACTTTTATCACTTTCATGGCTGACAATCTATTTCAATAGAAAGAAAAATGACAGTCAAGGAGATGACATGTTCCCTTTCCTCGGGGGGCATTCATTTCAATAGGGATGATTGTTTAAAAATTATGAACATGATTATTTAATTGATATTGTGATGAGTGTCACAAGACACAATTAAAGGGAATTGCGCAATTTTCAAATTTTACATTTTCTGTATAGATCTCTTTCCTGAATAACGGAGCCAAACATGGACCAATCTACTGGAGGTGTTCACATAAATATCCTATAGTTGCAAAAAATAATAAAACTAGGCCTGAATTTAATCGCACTATTCAACCTAGAAGAAAACTCTTCTGTTATGCCAAAGAAATGTGAAATTCATTTTTTTACTCTGCCTTCATTGATTAACCTGCTCATACAGATTTTATGAGATGTTTAGCCCTTCCTCTCATGAATTCCATTACCTGGATCTTTTCCTTCTCACATATTAGCTCCATTGTAGGCTTCTAAAAAAGACAGTTTTTCATGACACAAAATGATTATATTTTCCCATTCTGGTGAATTCATGTGATACTATTTGTCACATACTTTTCCTACCGTTATCCAAAGTGGCTCATTGTAATTTGCATAAGAATGTGACCATACCTTATCCTTCCCCTGACAATACAAAGCTCTCCAGCCCATTGTCTTGTACCAAAAAATATGGTCAATTGTTACATAAATGAATACATAATTAGGGTATTAATTTTTAAATTCTGATATAGAAGATTTGAAGAAAAACTCAGAAATAAAAGCCACAACTAAGGCATCTTCAAGAGCATAAACAATGCTGTCAACATATTTAGGCAGAGGAATAATGAGCTCAAAGAGGTAGACAAAATAAAGTCAACAAACATTTGAAAAGATCAAAGAGACAAATATGAAGGAATGAGGGCTTTTTCTTATATGCATATTGAGAGAAACTAGGGAATAGATTCAAATGTAATAAAATGGTAAAAAAAATTTGAAATAAAAAACAAAGCTGTAAAACTTGAAGTTTCATCTGTGTATGTGCGCATGCGTGAGTTCACACCCATTCACGAGCACCTAGGATGATGATATTATTTAATTTGTGAGGTGTATAGCTCAGTCTTTGGAGAGAATTTAGACACACATTTGTTTTAAATGTGATTAAAATATACACATCTTTAAAATAAATGACATATAATTATTGTTTTCTAAAAGCTACATGAAGCAAGTTACTCTCTGTATTATATAAATATAGGTAGAGGGGTTATCTTAGGAATAAAATATGCTATAACTGTTTGCTTAGAACTTTGAAGAGCATTAGAAGTGCATAGCAGTTAAGCTGGACAGATAACGAAAATTAAGTTGTGAAGAACAAACACAATGCAAAAGGCTTTTAACCCTGACTCTATTATTATATCATTCTACAAAAATGTATTTTTAACACCCATTTTTACTGTTTTTCTATTCATTTCACACTGTGCCAGATTCTAGCAGTCATTTTTTAGTGAGGTAAATGTGCCTGCTTCTCTCACTTGAAATCTGCTCCATGAGACGTGGAGAGATGAGTCCCTTAAAATTGTATTCAAATGAACAGTTATTGGTGACAGACTGAGGACATCAAAAAACACCAAAAGATTTTTAACAGTGAAATATATGCTGATAACACAAATAATATTTTTCTATGTTGGTTTTTCAGTTGATTTCAAAGTTTAGATTATCAAGGTCATAACCTCCTCATATGAAATGTTATATTTAATTCTATATTTTCAAATGAACTAAAACTCAGAAAGGTAAACGCTGTGTTTTTTTAGTCTATCTACCCTCTTACAAATGTATTCATAAAATGTAAATCATTTATCACTGATTAGGACAATCATTTCTCTTCTGCTATATACTTAAGTTACATTTAAGAGTAGCATAATTTCAGCTATAATTCACTAGATATGCATTGTCGGTCCATCATCCACTTTCCTTTGGAAACTTTACTTTGAAACTGAAAATTATAAATAATCTAAAACTAGAGATATAGATGAGGTACAAAATTTAAAGTGCTTGCTTGAAAACTGCATAATTTCTATTAAGTTACTTTGCTTTATGTTTCAGAAATTTAGAAAGCAATGAGTAGTAGGATATCATGCACACTAATAGAACTCATACCCAAACATCTCATCTTTTATCAAAATTTCTACAACCTACACCTATTTCTTTTTTCAGGATGTATCTTAAGAGGACTCCCAAGACACAAACAATTATTTTAAAAAACATCTTAAATGCGATTGAATAAAGGCACACATAGTAAACAAAAATGCAATACACACAAAGTACATGTTTCAAAGATAGAAATATCATATACAAATTAATATACGGGAATTTCAAATGTTGAAGAATAGAGAAAACAGAGCATGTGAAATAGAAATAACAGATTTGTAAATAGGTATAACGCCTTTGGAAAGCAACACAGAAATAATCAGTAAAATAGAATTTTGATATACTTCTAAAATATATTTCTATATTTTGTGATCTAGAAATTCTATTTGGAACATATGCTGGAGAAAGGATCTCATACAAGCTATTGAGACATGTACAAGAGTGTTCGCAGTAGCATCATTTATAATAGTAACATTGGTAAAAAATATAACTGAAGATTACCAATGGGTAGCATAAAAATTTCCAGACCAGCTTGTGAATATAGGAAAAAAATTGGGAGTTAGGGTCTAAAATATCAGACATTTTCTCAAATCCTTAGTATACAACAGAGTGTGAGTGCTAAGCATATCTGTTTCTGGATCCCCTGGAAAGGGCAGATTTATACCTCAACTGCTGGTGAATGCTGGTCTGTGGCAGGCCCTGGATGGAAGAGACCTACCAGATAAGATCAGACAACGTAGAAGAGATGAGGACAACTTGTTCTCTCTGTACACAGGCTTAGTTCCAAAAGGAACAACAGCATAACTGAGCAAAGAAGGCTTTGTTACTTTTCCACGTTAACTAATTAAATAAATACTTCAATACCCCAAGGGCTGAATTAGTATTAACTGAATAAAAAGAAAGAGGTGATATTGGTTTTGGGAAAATGCCTCTTCGAGGAAATAGCAGGTGTGAAAAAGTCACCCTCTTCTAACATATCAACTATATATGTAGTTATTAAATAGAATCATGTATACCCACATAAACATGTATGTATGTGTGTTTATATTATAAACCAATTAAAGTGAATAATCTGTAGATTACTTTTATCAAAATCATGAAAACGAATTGAAGGTTACAGAAAGTAAGAAAGTACAATTTTTAAACATTTTGAGAAATCGTAGAACAAAATTACAATTTTTGGAATACATACACTTACGCATAGTAAAATTGATAAAACAGAACACCCACAAAGTTCAGGGTGCAATGGCCTTTTTTGAATAAGGAAGAATGGTCATGTAAAGAGGCATAAACTCTATTAATTAGGCATAATTTCCTTTTTAAAAGTTACAAAAAATGTGAGAAATGTTTGCTTTAGAACTCTAGTGTGTAATTTTAAAATATATTTTTATGGTTCAATATCTTAAAATAAGCTTAGAACTCTTAAAATATCCATATCTTCTATATTACAAGGGCAATGTTGTTCAGAAATTGCAAGTCTTTTTTAACTTTCTGTGTTCTACTCTATTTTCAGAAACTGCGTGCATAAAATAATTGTATTTCCTTTCTTATTATCCCCAATGAAAGGATAATCTAAAGATTACATTAATATTATTAATTGCATTTCGATTAGATGGTTTTAAAATAGTTTTTTTTATTTTTGAGATGTATTAAACCATTTACTTATCAATTACTCAATCGTCAATTAGTCAATTTTTGTGGATTTTTTTGCTTATTCTTTAATTTATGAAACTGCTATGAACAGGAATAATAGGGCATTTTTCCATTCATTCCTACTTACTCATTATTGGTCTAGTTTTCTAAAGGAGTAAATTATGTCACCATTGTGTCCATCTTCAGCTTCTCCTCCAACCTTCAATGTAAACTAATTGGTAGATGTGACTCTCCTAGTTTCAAATGCAAACTCTCCGTTTAAGCTCAATGTGTCAGCTCTCATTCCTGGATTCCCATAATATCTCATCTGACATCTTTTTAAATCCTCTTAAATGATCACATGATTTCAGAAAATTATTCTTCTATGCAGCAAAATGATGATTTAAAAGTCAGTTCCAAATTAGCTGTGTTTTCTAAAAGCAAAACAATTAAATTTTATTTTTAAAAATTTATTCTGCTTTTTAAATTGATAAATCATAGTTTTATATCTTTGAGTTATCATGTGGTCTTGATATGTGCGTACGATATTGCATAATTAAATAAAGCTAATTAACATATCCATCACCTTACTCATCTATCATTTTTATGGTGAGATATTAAATTTACACTTAGTCATTTTAAAATATATAATAATACATTATTATTGATGATAGTTGTGTTTATGTAGAATAAATCTCAAAACCTATTTATCCTGTTTTTACAAGGCTGGAAATTCCCATCTCTAGCTTTCTGTTGCACTGATTTTCAAGTTTTGCTTTCTTGATCACAAAGAATTCTGTAGAAATATGCCAAGGGCTGTGATTACTATAGTAAAGGAAGAGATACAATAGATCACCGCTCTAATGTTCCAGTTATTATATTGCCATTCCCAATTGCTCTATTTTCATGTTTTGTTGATGGAGATTTTATTTAAGAACATATTTGATGAACATATGTGTTCATGTATCTTTATAATAGAATGATTTGTATTCCTTTGAGTATACACCCAGTAATGGGATTGCTAGGTCAAATGGTATTTGTGGCTCTCCATCTTTGAGGAATTTCCACACTGCCTTCCACAATGGTTGAACTAATTTACATTCCCACCAACACTGTAAAAGTGTTTCTATTTTTCCACAGCCTCACCAGTATCTATTGCTTCTTGACTTTTTAATACTTAGCATTCTGACTGGCATGAGATGGCATCTCAGTGTGGTTTTGATTTGCACTTCTCTAATGATCAGTGATATTGAACTTTGCAGCACTATTCACAATATGTCTAAGACATGGACTCAACCCAAATGCCCATCAATGATAGACTGGATATAGAAAATATGGCACATATACACCATAAAATACTATGGAACATGCATGGAGCTGGAAGCCATTATCCTCAGCAAACTAACACAGGAACAGAAAAGCAAACACCCTATGGTCTCACTTATAAGTGGGAGCTTAACAATGAGAAGACATGGACACAAGAAGGGTAACAACACACACTGGGGCCTGTCATTGGGGGGTAGGAGGGATAGCATCAGGATAAACAGCTAATGCATGTGGGGTTTAATACCTAGGTGATGGGTTGATGAGTGTAGCAAACCACTATAGCAATCCACATTTGATAAAAATATCAAGTTTAATTTATAAAGGCCAACATTATTGATGACGCTATTTACTAAACTTTCTTTTCCTTTATCTCTCTAGAGAAGTGCATTAAAATCATTTGTTATTTGTTATTTTATTTCTGTTTTCTTTTGCTCCTGTTTATGCTTTATAAAAATTACTGCATTAGCTGGGCGTGGTGCAGCTACTCGGCAGGCTGAGGTGAGAGGATCACTTCAGCCCAGGAGGCAGAGGTTGCAGTGAGCAGAGATCATGCCACAACACTCCAGCCTGGATAACAGAGTGAGATCCTGTCTCAATACATAAATAAATAAATAAATATTACTGCTTTTTTAGTTCAATGATATTAATATTTTTATATTTTAATTTTTATTGTTGGCTTCACTATCACATGCCGTTTGTCCAATATCATATTTTTATAAATTCTACTTTGTTTAATGTCAATATATGACATTTATTTTTATTTGCATTTGTCTGCTACACATTGCTTATCCTTTTATTATTTACACTTTTTGAATCACATTGTTTTAAGTGTCCTCTGTATGCAGCTTGCAGGTCTGGATTCTGCTTCATTCGCTACTGAAATCTTTTAAAAAGTCAATATCTTAAACTAATTTGTGTTTACTGATATGGAATTTTGATCTCATTTGTCATATTGTGATATGCCATATTTTTATGTAGATATACATTCTTTAATATAGACATTTACAAGAAGCAGATGCCAGTGTCCTGCTTCTTGAACTTTCTAGCCAACAGAATAGTGAGCCTAACAAACCTCTTTTCTTTCTAAATTACCCAGCCTCGAGTCTTCTCTTACAGCAACACTAAATGGGGTAAGACATATAATAAGCAAAACAAGTTTTTAGACGTAGCCACAGTTACCAATTCTTACGCTCTTCATTCTTTTAAAGATGGATATTTCTCCAGGTTATCATTTTTCTTCTACTTTAAAGACTTTTCTTTTAATGTAGTTCTGCTTGTGATAAATTTTTCCACTTGCATATTCCAAAAAAGTCTTTGATTTTTGAAAGATATGTTCTCTGAGTATAGAATTCTAAGTTTTTTCTTGTATTATTCATTTTCAGTACTTTAAGATGTTGGTTGTCTTTTTGTTTGCATTCCTCTGGACAAAAAATCGAGTGTAATTCTAATCCTACTTCTTTTGTATGAAATATGTATTTTTCTGGCTTCTTTTAAAATTTCTCTTTGTCACCAGGATCAAAGTATTTCACTACCACATGCCTTAAGGTAGACGTTTTGCATGTTTGTTTTTGGGGTGAGGGGTTGGAGTTTCTTGATCTTGGATCTGTGTTATATTTGTCATTAAATTGCCAAATTTTTCAGCCTTTGTTTTTCTAAACTCTTAAACTTTCTCCACCTCTTATTTTATGCAACATATTTTAGACTGTTTGGTATCTTGTTAAAGTTCACTGGTATTTTTGTTTGTCTTTTTCTTTATGTGTTCCACTGTAAAGTTTAAGACAAAATAACTTTTTATTGCTATGTTTTTAACTTCATTAGTCTTTCAGCTACAGTATCTAATATGCCATTAAGATCATCCTAAAATGTTTACATCCTTAGACATTGTAGTTTTTATATCTGCCATCATATATATAACATATTTACACATTGCACATCTCATATCTCCACATAGTTACTAAAAATTTAGTTTTTCCTCTGGGTTCATGAGCATAACATATACAATATTAATAACTGTTATAATGTTAAACCATACAATAGGTCAAAAGGTAAACTGTAAAATGTTAATGTGTTTATCTAAGCAAAAACAATTCACAAATTTGACAACTCTAAAGCAGAAATGGTTCAGGAGCTCCACAGAGGGAACACAAAGGGAAGGCTTTTACAGAATGAACACAGTAGTAAAGGAAAGAGAATATTTGATTCATTCCAGTTATACAGTTGCAAATACAAAGATATTTGTTTTATCTTGTTGGGAAGTCTCTAGTTATATAGTTATAAGTTTGTTAGCTCCTACTGATTGGTTGAGCTTAAATTGTTTTCTTTAATTTAGACTTTTACAAGAAATAGCTCCAGTTAAGTTTCACTTAAGTTTGCAAATCAAGCAAAGTTAATGTCACTTACAAGGCCTGACTGGCTTTGTCTTTTGAGGAATGCCTCAGGCCTGGCTTTCATTTAATTTACTTTAACAATGTCCTTGTTTATTAATTACCTCATCTCATCCACATTATTTCTATATTAATTTTGACTAATTTCATTTTTTCTTTATTATTTTTTTTTTCTGCTTTAGATGCCTGGTAATTTTTAATACAGAGTATTTGCACATTTATTTATTACTGCCCATATCCATTAAAGTTTTTAAATTTAATGTCAGTTATTGTAACTTCTGCCTTATTTGTTTTTTGTCATTTTTGTACACACAAAAATGCTCATCAGTGTTGTTCTGTATACAATCAAATAACCTGTAAATAGTGTGATCCTTTCGATATTTGCTTTTGTACTTTGATATCTGGAACCAGAACATCCTTTCTTCTAGGTCTAACTTCTTCCTAACTATTGGGCATTACCTTTTTGAGTGCTTAACCCAATGCTTCTCAATGATGGGGTTTCTGCTCTAACTAATGGGATCCCGAATTATTTCTAGGCTTGTGTGATCTCAGAAGACGTTTCTCTCTAATCCTTCGAGGTGGGCATTTCCTCACATACATTCATCAGCTGAAGACTGGAGATGGACCCTGTAATTCTCTGAAATTCTTCCCTTCTCTTACTTTACTGTAGTGAGATCCTCTTTTATGCTGCCCTGACATTTGTTTTGAATATAAGTTAAACTTTCTCATACTAGAAGCAAGATTTAGTTAACTCTGATACAGTTTCCAGTTCTCGACTTTCTCTCAGTTTCTTAATGTGGTCGATCCAGATATCTGCCTTATGCAACCACCCCCTGGTGGCAAACTCCCTAGGGGACAGCTATGTGCAACCTATTTGACTTGCCCTACTGACCCTCACACCAGCAAGGACTGTGGAGATTTGCTACAGTGACCACTTCTCAGACACAGAGTGACTCCACAGAAACTTGTGCCTACTTGCTCTAAATCCACCAATCAAACTCCAAGTGGGAAATCTGCTTGGGTAACACCCTGGACCCCAATAAAGGCTTCAACCCACAAGTCCCTCAATCTTTCTTTCCTGCTTCCTACCTGCTGATTGAGCAGGCTTGTCTCAGACACCTCCCTGCTTCCCACTGGTGCTGAAAGCCACACTACCCTCTTCTCTCTGGAGCTGTAGTAATAATATGCTTCTAATAACACTGCTTCTATTATTCTATGTATGTGTTGTATTGCCTCCTCACTGTGTCTCACCTGAGCAATCCCAGCCACCATCTGAACCAAATTTCCTCCCAGTGAGACCCATTCAAGAGAGTGGCTATTTTTGACTTACAGCTACTCTCAACAAACAGATCTTAAGACCAAATAAAAAAATAAACCATAACAATAAAACTCACATATTTCTTGTAAACGTTATGTGTCTTGGCTTCCTTGTCCTACCAGCTTGAATTCAGGGAAGAAACTTGGCTCAACTTAGACTTACCCTTCCCGAAACACAGCCTGGAAATTTTTCCACGGCAGTAACTTAGTAGAACCATATGGTTTCTTTGTTTCTTGTGTCATAGAGATCACTCTCTTTGCTTGCTTGATGTGCAATGTCTTTAAAACTGATGCATTATTTTGTTTTGTTTTTTGGTTTTTAGATCGGAGTGGAAGTCTGACTCTGATTATTTTGCCACTTCCAGAAGTGGAATCTTTATTGTTTGACTCATTCGCTCTGCCTTGCTAATATTTTTGGTTGATTTCTTTTGATGATACCTCACATGAGCTTTTGATATTCTTTAGAGGTTATTTGGTTGGATACAGATGATCTTCAGCTTGTGATCTGGTTACATCTCAATACACCCATTATAAGTTGAAAATGCTTTTAATACACCTAACCTTCTGAACAAAATAGCTTACTCTAGCCTACCTTAAATGTACTCAGAACACTTACATTAGCCTATAGTTGGGCAACATTATCTAATGAAAAGCATATTTTACAATAGTGTTCAGTAGCTCATGTAATTTATTGAATAATGCACTAAAATATTCAAGTGAAAAAAAAGAATGGTTGTATGGGTGATCAAAGTAAGGTTTCTACTGAATGTGGCAGCATTTTTAAGTCAAGAAATCAGAAGTCAGGAACCACCTAAGTTTCTGAGATTCTTGATACACATATCACCAGCACACATTTTAATTTATCCCAATATTCATCTATTTTGTGATCCTTGCATCCCAGTTTGGAGGAACCAATGAGACTTTTTCCATGTTCCTCAAGATTTTCTTCACAAATTATTTCATCTTTTTTTCCCAATAAATTTATTATCCTCTCTTTTGGAAGACCTTACAATTTGTTAGTGATACTTTTAGTTTTTGAGGATTACACTAGTCATCACTAATCTCATTTTATTTCCTGTTATTCTCCTCTTTCTGCTAAACCATCCTATTTCTGTCAGATGGATTGGCATTTCATGAGGATGCCCTGTCATCTAGATTACAGACAACATCATTTGAAAACTGTGTTTCTTTTGCTATGTGGATTGCTCTGTTTGAACTTAAGGAAGGCCAGGTGCGGGGGCTCACGCCTGTAATCCCAGCACTTTGGGACACCGAAGCAGGCAGATCACCCGAGGTCAGGAGTTCGAGACCAGCCTGGCCAACATGGTGAAACCCTGCCTCTACTAAAAATACAAAAATTAGCCGGGAATGGTGGCAGTTGCCTATAATCCCGGCTACTCAGGAGGCTGAGGCAGGAGAATGGCGTGAACCTGGGAGGCGGAGCTTGCAGTGAGCCGAGATAGCACCACTGCACTCCAGCCTGGGCGACAGAGTGAGACTCCGTCTCAAAAAAAAAAAAAAAAAAACAAAAAAAAAAAACAGAGAAAATAATATGAAATACAGAGGCAGACTACATACAAATGAACAAAAATGCAAGGTGAGACAGAGCGCTGAACATAACAGACTCCATGACTTGAGAAACCACGAAAGCCAGAAGACAATAGAATTACACTTATAAAGTGTTAAAAAATAAAAATTTAAAAATCTGCATGTTAGCAAAATTCTATACCCAAATAAAATATCTTCCAAAATTGAAAGAGAAATGATTACTTTCTCAGACAAAACAAAAACTTTAGAAATTAATTGCAACATACCTACTTCATAAAAAATTAAGAAAAATTTCTTCAGGATAAAACAAAATGTCAGAATTTGGATATATAAAATGAAACTAATATCATTGGAAATGGAAAGAAGATGGTAGAATTCATTTGAATAAAATACATTCATTTTTACTCATTTATAATTGGTTCCCAGAAAAGACTACTGATAATATTGCAGTATCACATTGTGTGTTTAAGGCAGATGGAAAGAAGTATTTGGAAATATACAGTTGGAATTTTGTAATATTATTTGAAAGTAGACACTGATTAATTAAATACATATATTGTAAACAGTAGGGCATGATCAAAAAAAAAAACAAGAATAACAAAAAGAACTATACATAATAAGTCATTAAAAGTGGTAATGTAGAATCCTTAAAAAAGTTTGATTAACATGATCAAGAGAAGAAAAGATAAAATAAAGAGAAAAGGTGGCAAATAGAAAAGATCTGGAAAGGTGGTAGATTTTAACTCGAACATTTCAATGCTAACATTTAATGTGAATGGTCTGAGCATAGGGGACAGATATTGTCATACTTAATCAAAAAGAGTCAACTATAGCTAAGTAATAATTTAGTTTCTATATGAAATAAAAATGTATGCAGTTTCTATAAAAATGTTATATATAAGGGTAAGACCAATTTTTTTCATATTTCAGTTTGAATTGTAGAATATTAAATGTTTGCTATTAACATGCATGTTCAGTCAATACGACTTTTTCTGAGTTGTCAACACTTAATATTAAAAATAAAACATAATATGCCTTTAAAAATAAATTTAACCTAACCTATGTATTTAAACTTCAAATAACAACAACAAAAAATTCGTGTGTATACACGCACACTGCAAGTGGCAGAGTATACAGCTAAACACAGAGAATTGGAAAAACAAGCAGATAATCAAGTGTGTTATTAGAGAAAAGTCAAGTAAAATCAATGAAGCAGTTTGTGGCTTAAATATTTCAAATCATTTTTAAAGTAAATTTTTATTTTACAAAATTTAGATATCCCTCCACCAAATTAAAGCAATCATTGCTTGTGTAGACCAAAACTTAAATGAATACGGGAAAAGTGCTTAATTCTATGGAAATAAAAAAACAAAAAGTAGGACTACTCTAATACCAGCCCTGTACTGAGAACCTATCAATTGCTGTTTCTAGACACCCCCAATATCCAGTTTCTTGAGATGCATAAGGCTCAAGATCAGTGGGTGGCGTAAGTGTAGACACATAAAAGATCACATTTCATTGTTTTAGTCATCATTAGTTCCAATTTTTACGACACTCACTAAATTGTATTACTGATACTCCCTTCAGAAACACTCTGTGTAGGAATGTTCTCTTACATTAATTAGCTTCACCAGTTCATTGGCAGAGCAATGTTTGGGAGGCTTTATAGAACCAATCCATATTGTTTTGTGCTCCATTGAAACTCAAAATTATATGAGAACTATTTTAACACATAGTACTCACTTATTTTATAAAGCTTGTTTTGGGCCAGACATGGAGGCTCACACCTGTAATCCTAACAGTTTCGGAGGCCCAGGTGGGTGGATCACCTGAGGTCAGAAGTTCAAGACGAGCCTGGCCAACATGGTGAAACCCTGTCTCTACTGAAAATACAAAAACTAGCTGGGCATGGTGGTGGGCGCCTGTAATCCCAGCTACTTGGGAGGCTGAAGCAGGAGAATTGCTTGAACTTGTGAGGCAGAGTTTGCAGTGAGCCGAAATTGTGCCATTGCACTACAGCCTGGGTGAAAAGAGTGAAACTCCACCTCAAAAAAAAAAAAAAAAAAAAAAAAAGGAAAAAATATAAAAACCTTTTGTTGTTGTTGTTGTTGTTTGTTTGTTTTTGACAATATTTGTTGGAAAGTCTATTGAAAACTAGATAAACTATCCTTATGCCAAAATCTCACTGTTTGGTTCATGTCATTTACATTGTTTCACTGTGAGAGAAAAGTAGAATTTTCTAGCATGCCATGAGGTAAAAACAAACCAAAAATAGTCTTTTGCTAAAAACTCATCAAATATTTATAAAGTCTTTAAAAAAGAAAAGAGCTTAAATGTTTATGTAACAGAAAAAAGAAATAATTGAAGCAAAGGGCAAAGTAAATAGGATATATTCTATTAGTGAATATTATACATTATGGTTATATAGATTTCAAAGTGTTTTATTTTTCTATTGCCATGTTCCTTCATAAGGAATAGGATGTTGAAAACTTATTTTCTTGAATTTTGGCAGCATATTCTTCTTTACCAAAATATTCACCTTTACCTAAATTTATGTTCCCTATAATTATGTCACCAGTCATTCAGAAAACAATTACAGATTAACCCATGGCAGGGGACATAAAACCAACTGTATCTTTATGGAGTTGAACCATAATACAAAATTAGAGGCCTTCCAGAATGCAAATAGATATAAAGAAAGGTAGAGACACATGGGAGGTTTTCCATTATCATACCCCTGAAAGGAACCTCACATAATCTCCTAAACTCTTCTCCTTTCTCATTTTGGCCCAGTTTCCCTAGCCTCCCTCCTATTCCTAAGCACACTGCCCTGTGGCCTTTGATGTCTCTGCCCGGAATGTTTCTGGCTATATGCCATGCACTCTCATTTATTCAAGTTAGTGCTGAAATACTATTCTCCGGAGAGATGTTTTCTGTTCTTTCTGTCTAAAATAAAATTACCCCTGTAACTCTCTAATCACTTGCATCATTTTATTTTACCTCACAGCTTTCTTTATTATCTAATTTCATGTCAAGTGACAATGCATAGATCTTATACCTTGTCAGAGTGTAAAGACTAGGAGTATAGATACTCTATCCAGTTTGTTCACTATGAGTATCTTCTGCAAATAGAAGGATGTCTTATCATCGCTCTATGGAATTTTGTCGAATATGTAAATGAGTGAATTTTTAAAATATTGAGAACAAAGCACCGCAAGTAAAATGTATTGCCATTTTCATTATTGTGGCAAGCAATGCTGAGATTCAATGACCATGTCATTGGACAATACCTTCCCCTGAATTGTGGGTGGGACCTGTCACTTCCTTCTAGACAGAATGAGGCAACAGAACATGGGAAAGAGGCTGGGATATTACTCTCGAGATTATGCTTCATTATTTGACAAAGGTGAAGATATTTTGCAGACTTAATTTAGATCTCTTATCAGATAGTAAGGAAATTATTCTGGATAGGCATCACATAATTGGATGGTCCCTTTTGAAAGAGAGTCTACAGGCTGGAGACTCTTTCTAGTAGTGATGGAACCCACCACCATGATTTCTGCAGCTAAAGAAAAAATGAGTTGTACCAACAGTCACATGAGCTTTTAGAGGATCCCTGAACTTTGGATGAAACCATGGCCCGAGCCAAGACAATGATTGCAGCCTTGGGAGACTCTTAATAAAGGACACAGTTTAGCTGTGTTAAGATTCCTGACCAAAAGACTATAAGATCATAAATATGTGTTGTTTTAAACTTCTAAGTGTGTTGTGATTTATTTTGTAGAAATGTAAAAATAATATAATCATTGATATCTAGATGTAAATCAAAATATCTAATTTGGTATTTTTTACCTTAATAACTAGCTCAGGCTCCCTGCAAAGAAAACAAACAGACAAACCAGCAAAAAAAAAAAACAAAAAAAACAAAAAAAAACCACTCCTTTGGCATAGCTTTGTACAAAGCTAATTTCAAGTATTATCAACTGTAGACTTCTCGTGAGTAATGAAGTTCATTTTTTGCCTGCGCCCTTTACATGCACTCCTTTTCCCTCTTCACCCAGCTTTATCCAGGTAACTCTCATTCATCTTTCAGAAATTGTTGTATGATTATTTCTGCAATATAGCCTTCATTTGCCACAACTCCCTTATGTAGTTAATAATCACACCCTCGACCCCCACATGCATAGACGTTTCTCTGGTGATAGTCAACAAATTAACTATTTTAAATTCATCTTTGCCTCCTTGAACCCATGCCTTAAAGAGAGACATTTGGGGCTGGGCACAGTGGCTGTAATCCTAACACTTTGGGAGGCTGAGGCCAGCAGATCACTTGAGGTAAGGAGTTTCAGACCAGCCTGGCTGAAATGGTGAAAACCCATCTCTACTAAAACTACGAAAAATGAGCTGGGCATGGTGGCGCACGCCTGTAAACCCAGCTACTAGGGAGGCTGAGGCAGGAGAATTGCTTAAGCCAGGAAGATGGAGGTTGCAGTGAGTCGAGATCACACCACTGCACTCCAGCCTGGGTGACAGAGTGAGACTCTGCCTCAACAACAACAACAACAAAGAGACATTTTGTGTGCTGCATTGGCAATTATATTTATAATCCACAGTGCAATTCTCTATACAATCCAAATGCTTTCTACATTTTTTCCAATTGATGCATGAACAATAAATTAAGCAAATCTAGATAGAAAACAAGATACTTTTTTCAGACTGTACAAGCTTTGAAGCACTTACACATAGTTATGGACCAAAATTATCCTTGTTATGGATTGTGGATTTTCGGTTTTCTCTGAAGGAACTTTCAGTGGCTCAGTAAGTTTTTAGGCAGTCTGGGTACACGCTTGCCCAGGGAAAATGGTGTAAAAACCACCTGTGTACTCTTCAAGTGTTTCTGAGCTATGGTGTGAGAGGATGTGATGTGTGTGTTTGAGAGAGAGAAGACAGTGAAAAACAAAGAGAGATTCCATGTGTGTCTGTTGGCCTAGAAAAACCTGCCCACTTAGATGTAAGATACAGGCTGGTGAAGTAATATGCCCAAGTATATTAGTGGTTTTCTTATAGGGAATAGACTAAAATTCTTGCCTATTTTTCATGATGTTATTTGACATTAAGGAAATCTGTTCCAGGTGGCTCTGATCTTGATCTGACAGCAAGAAATGTTGCCAGTGCTCCAAATGGGATCTCGTCATCAAGGATATCTGGACTTTCAATGTGTGGTTAATAAAACACCTTCCACATTAACAGGAAATACTCAATTCCTATAAAATGTATGGCTGAAATTGGTAAGCCCATCTGGACTGTAACAGTTGGCAAACCATCTTTTTTTGTGTGTGTGTCTGTGTATGTTAGTGTGTGTGATAAATAAACAAGTGAATGTAAATCACAAAACCAAAGAACAAAAACATAATCTTGGAGATTAGCCCAACAAACTCCCCATGTGACAGCAAACTTACTGATAGTGCTACCAGATTGATCTGATTTTCTAGATTATTTTATCTAACGTGCAGAAAAGGAACTGGCTCTTTGACAGAAGAATTTCCAGGTTGTATGGATATTTGGGGATCCCAGGGAAAAATCATTGACTTCTTAATGATAATAGCAGGTGACCATTTAGCTATTGAAAAAATTTAAAAGACTAAGTCATAAACAATTGTATTAGTCTATTGTCACACTGCTAATAAGGACATACCCAAAACTAGGTAACTTATAAAGGAAAGAGGTTTCTTTGACTCACAGTTCCACCTGGCTGAGGAGTCCTCACAATTATGGCAGAAGGTAAAGGAGGAGCAAAGTCACATCATGCATGGTGGCAGGCAAAAGAGAGCATGTGCAGGGGAACTCTCCATTATAAAACCATCACACCTTGTGAGACTTACTATCATGAGAACAGCATAAGACTGGACCCCATGATTCAATTACCTCCCACCAGGTCTCTCCTACAACACGTAGGAATTATGGGAGCTACAATTTCAGATGAGATTTGGGTGGGAACAAAGCCAAACCATATCAACAATATATACAAAATATACTTGAAGGTAATTTATAGAATATCAATTTTTCTGACAATCACTTTGATAAAATCAAGGGATTGCATTAAAGGTGCATTAATTCTTCTATTGTTGTATAACAAATTACAACAATCTTAGCTTAAAATAGCATTCGTTTATTAGCTCGTCATCTGTGGATCAGAAGTCAGTGTTTGGGTTCTTTGCTTAGGTTGACATCAATGTAGGGACTTGCTGCATGCTCATGTGCAGTTTAGGATTCTCCTCCAAGCTCATTCCAGTATTGGTAGAATTTGGTTCCTTAAAGTTGAGGACTTAATTCCTGTTTTCTTTCTGCCATCAGCTGGGGACTGCTGTCTGTATCTAGAGGCCACTTTTAGTACATATCCTGATGTTTCCTCTATCTCAGCAAGAGGGAATTTCAGTGTATTGAATCCCTCTCATTATTTGAATCTCTCAGACATCTCCTGTTGCAACCAGTTTAAGAGAACTCTGCTTGAGGGGGAACTGATAATTACATCAAGTCCACCCAGGTAATATCTCTATTTTACCATCAACTGAATCATTAGCTGAGTTACACCTACAGAATCTCTTTTGCCATATCATGTTACATAATACTAGGAGGCAAAGATCATTAACATTCTGCCTACCATAGAAAACAAACTACCTAAGATAAAAAGCTTAATATAAAATCCATTAGTCCCTTTCAGACTGTTTGTGCTGTTACTGCAAAATACCAGAGATTGAGAAATTTATAAAGAACAGAAATTTATTGTCTTGCAATTCTGGAGACTCAGAAGTCAGAGATCAAGGTGCCAGCATCTGGTGACAACCTTCTTGTTGCATCTTCATAGGGGAGAAAGTAAAAGGGCAGCCAAACAGACCCTGTCTGAAGTTTTTTTTTTTTTTTTTTGTTTTTTTTTAAGTCCTTTAATCTCATTCACGAGGGAGAAGCCTTCATGGACTAATTACGTTTTAAAGGTCCCATTTCTTAATATTATTATATTGACAATGCCTGAATTTTGAAGAAGAAACATTCAAAGCATAGCAGTCTATCATCAATGATTTCTGGATGTTGATCAGTAATTTTGTAGTTGAGGATAGTACTTTGGGCTTAACTCTGCAACAATTAATTGCTATTTGAATAAATTGCAATTTGCAAAGACCTAAACATAATCATATTAAAGGATTAAATAATGTAACAATACTTATAAGACAGTGTGTAGACTATCTTATAGTCTTTGTATATCTTATCTATAATTCAAGTAATAAAAATTGGTATATTTGTAACATATTTGTCAACTTGCATTCAGGTACAAATGCAGAATGACAAATCATAAAATATTCTATAGACCTGTGATAAAATTTCCCATTTAGCTAAAGTATTTATATTTGTGGAAAGCAGCATTTATAATTTTAGAAAAGGGAAATTGGGAAAGAAGTCCATTTGTGTATTTCAAACTAAAATGTATTATTAATTTTATCACATAAGCAGATTAATTTGCTTGGAGGACAAATATTCTCTTTTCAGAATTACATTACTTTTTATTTGCCCTTAGGAGAAAAGCATTAAAAACACTTATACTTACAAATATATTTTAATACCAAATCAGAGCAGGTTAAGTTAGAAGTTAAATAAACTTCATATTTATTTAGTAAGGGAAAACTATTGCATTAAAAATTTGTTTTCCAACAAAATAAATCATGAGTATGTTGATGATGAGATTGTTTGGATTAGATTTTATTTCTATTTTTAAATGCCTTTAATGAGAAATAATTTCTTCACTGAAACTCACTTATATTAGTATTCCATTTGCTTGTTAAAACCTAATTTGGAGTTAGTCATATATTTTATGATATGTTTATTTTTTCCATTTCATTTTATGTTCTCTTTAAAGAATGATTAATGTTTAATTCCCCATATATCGTAGACTATAGTGGTAGAGGTGTTTCAACTAAAATATTATAAATTCAATAAACAGTAAGTATAATATAAAAATTCCAATACATTATATTTTTAGTCATATCCAGGTATTCACAATTAGTTATATTTTAACTTTTTTTTGCTTGATCAGTGAAAATGTAAATTATTATGTGTGTAAGTCATTCAACCTCTTTTATATCCACCTTTAGAAATAAATAATATTCATTTAAATTATTAAATATTTTGTTAAATAAAAAGTTATCCAAAGTGCAGAATTATTTCTCCACCAAATTCAGTTTTCACATTGGAAAAAATTCTCAAAATATCTGTGAATTTATTTAGGATGTTATGGCAGGACCATCTCATGCCTCATTGACTTAGTAAGTGTAATATTAATACTATATTTTAGTTGGATTGAAAGTAGTAATTTTGCTATACATATATATGTGCACACATATGCATATATATATTCAATTTGAAGATATCTACATCTATCATCTATTTATTATCTATCTATCTTTCTATCTATCTATCTATCAACTACGTATCTAGATATCTGACAAAATTTTCAAGAGAAATTGGGCTTCTATTTTTCTTAGAAGACTTACACTCTCTTCTGCATAAAATCTCCTCAGTTGCTGTTTATTAAACCCTACAACCATTTCTTTTTATCACTCCTTTGATGTTAAATATCTGCTTTGTAAAACTATCTTAATATTTTATATTTATTTGTGTGGTATTTTCTTCCCTGGTCAAAAGGCTGTGCTTATAGATAAAATTAAGAATTACTAGGGTGATATTCTCAAAATGGTAGAGTAAGGAGCTCCAAACTCATTCCGTTACAGACAAAATGAAAAAAAAAATCAGAAATTATCATAACTAAATTGTTAAAACTTTGGAAAACAGTAAACATTGGCAGCATCTAAGAAAACACCAGATAGAGAAAGAGACAACTTTGACACGGTAGGAAAGATTTTTGACATTTATATTTTCCCTTGAAGTAGTTCCTTTCTATTGCAATGGCAGACTTGAAGCAGCAGCAGTCTGTATTTCCAGTATGAGACCTTAGTTCCTGGTTCTAAAGAGACCAGAACACCCTAATTCACAGATTATTAGGTAAGTCTGTTTTCTTTCTTATTTAAAAAAGATATATCATGTATATTATAGATATATGTTGTTTCGATATACATATAGTATTTTGATATACATATAGTGAACCTATTTATATTCAAGTAAATTGTCATAGCATCATCCCACATAGTTAGCCACTTTTTGTGTGCATCAGGAATACCTAAAAACTATTCTTTTGCAAAAATCCCAAATATAACACACAATATTATTAACTATAGTCCCCCTGTTGTACAGTACAACCCTGGACTTACTCATCCCACCTATCTACAACTTTGTACACTTGGACCTACATTTTTTCATTTTCTCCCATCCCCTACCCCTGGTAGACACATTTTTTTTTTTTTTGAGAATTCACAAATAAGTGAGATCAGGCAATATTTGTCTTTCTGATTTTTGGCTTATTTCACTTAGGGTGTGGTCCTATAGTTTCATCCATATAGTCACAAATGAAAGGATTTCTGCATTTATAAAGGCTGAATAATTTTCCATTGTGTATGTGTGTGTGTGTATTCATGTATATGTACATGACATTTTCCTTATCTATTCTTTTATTGATGGAAACAGGTTGTTTTCATATCTTGGCTATTGTGAAGAATTCTCTAATGAACATGGGAATGGAGATATTCCTTGGAGATATTGATTTCATGTCTTTTGAATATATTTCAGGGGGATGGCTGAATCACATGGAATTCTATTTTTAAGTTTTTAGGAGCCCCCATATTGTTTTCCTAAATGGCTGTACTAAATTATTAGGTTGGTGCAAAAGTAATTGCAGTTTTTGACAGTAATTGACAAAAGCTACCTTGAGTTGATTTTTGTGTATGGTGTGAGATAAGGTTCAAATTTTATTCTTCTGCATGTGGATATCCAGTTTTCCCAACATCATACATTAAAGACACCACTGTTTTCCTACTATGTGTTCTTGGCCCTTTTGTCGAGGATGAACTTATCATAAATGTACGGATTTATTTCTGGGCTCTCTATTCTGTTTCTTTGTTCTATGTGTCTGTTACTATGCCAGTACTACACTATTTTGATTACTACAGCTTTTGAGTATATTTTAAGATTAGGTAGTGTGATACTTTCAGCTTTGTTCTTCTTGGCTATTTGTGTTTTGTTGTGGTTCTGTACTAATTTTTTGATTATATTTTTGTTTACTTTTGTGAAAAACACTATTGTAATGCTATAGGGTTTTTATTGGATTTATAGATTACTTTGGGTAGTATGGACATTTTAACAATACCTGTATTAATTCTTCCAATCCATGAACACAGGATATCTTTTCATTTATTTGTGTCTTCTTTAATTTTTAATCAATGTTTTACAGCTTTCTGTGTACAGATCTTTCACCTCCTTTGTTAAATTTACTCTTAATTGTTTGTGTGTGTGTGTCTGTGTGTGTTGATGCTATTGTGATGCAATTATTTTCTTGATTTATGTTTTGGATGTGTTATTATTGATTTAGAGAAACAGGAATGATATTTGCATAACGATTTTCTAGCCTGCATCTTTACTAAATTCATCGATTAGAACAAATAGTTTTTTGTGGACCCTTTAGTGTTTTTATATATAAGATTATGTCATCTGCAAACAGAGACAATTTTATTTCTTCCTTTACTAATTGTGTTCCTTTTATTTCTTTTTTTTTTTAAACCTAATTTTTCTGGCAGGGACTCCCAATAGTATATTGAATAGAAGTGATGAGAATGGACATCTTTGTCTTGTGCTTAATTTTAGAGGAAAAAGTCTTAGCATTTTACTGTTCAATATGAAGTTATATGTTGGCTTGTAATATGTGACTTTTATTATGTTGAGGTATATTTCTTCTATACTTAATTTATTCAGTGTTTTTGTTATGAAATTATGTTGAATTTTTTAATGCTCTATCTGCATCTATTGAGATGATTACATTGTTTTGTCCTCTATTCTGTTAATGTGGTGTGTCACATTTATGTATTTTCATATATTGAACCATCCTTGCATCTCTGGGATAAATAACCTTTGATCAGGATGTACAATCCTGCTAATGTGTTGCTTTTAGTTAGTATTTTGCTGAACATTTTTGTATCTATTTTCTTTAGAGATGTTGGTCTGTAGTGTTCTTTTTGTAGTGTCTTTAACTTTCAGAGTAATGTTGGACTCATAAAATTTGTTTGGAAGTATTCTCTTGTCTTCAATTTTTTGGTTTAATGTGAGAAAGATTGTAGTTAATCCTCTAAAGGTTTGGCAGAATTCAGAATGGTCTGGGCTCTTTTTTGATAAAATACTTTTGATTATAGATTTAATCTCCTTAGTCTTTATTAGTCTGTTCATGTATTCTATTTGTTCATTATTCAATCTGTCTAGATTGTCTGGGTCCTGGAATGCATTTATTTCTTCTAGGTTATCCAATTTGTTAGTGTATAATTGTTTATAGTGGTCTCTTATGATCCTTTGTATTTCTGTAGTAACAGTTATAATGTTTCCTTTTTCTTTCTGATTTTAGTTGAGTCTTCTCTTTTTTCCACTTTGTTTAAAGGTTTGTTCATTTTGTTTATCTTTTCAAAAAAGCTAACTCTTATTTTATTGATCTTTTACATTGTTTTTGTAGTCTCTATTTCATTTTATTCTGCTCTGATCTTTGTTTTTCCTTCCTTCTGTTAACTTTAGGCTTACACATTTTTTTAGTTCATTGAGGTTTAAAGGTCAGTTGCATATTTGAGATATTTCTTTTCTTGTTTTATGTTTTGATTGATATCAAATTTAATATTAGAATGGCTTTTTATGCATCCAGTAAGTTTTGATATGTTGTCTTTCTGTTTTTGATTGTCTGAAAAAGTTAAATTTTTTTGATTTTTTTTTTTTTTTTTGAGATGGAGTCTCACTCTGTCATCCAGGCTGGAGTGCAGTGGCACGATCTCGGCTCACTGCAAGCTCTGCCTCCCAGGTTCATGCCACTCTCCTGCCTCAGCCTCCTGAGCAGCTGGGACAACAGGCACCTGCCACCACGCCTGGCTAATTTTTTATATTTTTAGTAGTGACGGGGTTTCACCATGTTAGCCAGTATGGTCTCAATCTCCTGACCTCAAGATCCGCCCGCCTCGGCCTCCCAAAGTGCTGGGATTACAGGCGTGAGCCACTGTGTCCGGCCAATTTTTTGATTTTTTTTCTTTGACCCATCAGTCTTCCAGGAATATGTTATTTAATATCCTCATGTTTTTGAATTTTCTAATTTTCCCTTTCATATTAGCTTCTAGTCAGTGATATACCTTCTTCAAGAGATTCACTTAGGTCCAGAGAAACAAATAATTACAACAGAACAGAATAAAACAAATATTCCATATGAATAGTAACTAAAAGTTAGCTGGATAGCTGTACTAATATAATAATAGTCTATATTAATAAACAAGTTAATATAGACAATTATAGACAAGAATAGTCTATAATAACAGACAAAGTAAACTTTAAGGAAACTCATTACAAGAGATCAAAAAGGAACTGGTATATTGATAAAAGGCTCCATTCATTAGAAAAGTGAAACAATTATATACATGCATGCAACTAACATCATAGCCCACAAAATCATAAAACAAGCAGGAAAATATAAAAAGCAAACATTGACAGAATGGAAGGGAGAAAAAAGCAGTTCTACAATAAAAGTGGAGACTTCAATATTACATTTTTAACCAGGGATACACACTGACAGAGTAGATCAAAGAGTAAACGGAGCACTTGAACAACACTATAAACCCAATAGAGATATGTAGGACACGTCAGTCAACAACTGCAGGAAATACTTTCTTCTCACTTGCATGTAGGGCATTCTCCAGGACAAACCATTTCTTAGTCCACAAAACAAATTTCAATAAATATATTTTAAAGATCCAATCATATAAAGTATGTTCTTGAATAACAATGGGATGAAGTTAGAAATTAACAGAATGAAAACTGGATAATTCATAAACATGTGAAAATTAAACAAAACATTCTTAAATGACTATGGGTCAATGAAAAAAATCACAAGAGAAACAAGAAAATAGGGAGGAATGACAACAAATCCACAGCCCACCAAAACTTACTGGATGCAGTGATGGCAGTGTTCCGTGGAAATTTGTAACTATAATACTTACATTTTAAAATACTCAAACAAATAACTTAATTCAGTACTTTGAAGGGATAAAAATGAAGTGAAAAATAACTCAAAACTAGGTTAAGGACAAAAAGAGTAAAGACTACATTCAAAATAATAGATTCCAAGTAAAATCAAAAGATTGTTATTTGAACAAATCAGCAAAATTGACAAATCTTTAGCTAGAGTGACAAATTAAGAGCAAAGACACAAAATAATATCAGAACTGAAAGTGGGAATATTATTACTGGCCTTAAATAAATCAAACAAGTGTAATATAATACTTACAGTAATTGAACACCAAAAAACTAGGTAACCTATATGACTGGACAGATTCCCAGAAATAGACACGAAATTATTCAGGAAGAAATAAAAATACTGAACATACCTATAACAAGTAAAGACATTGAATTAGTAATCACAACACCTCACAAAAAAGAAAAGTCCAGGAACAGATGGTTTTACTCATGAATTCTACCAAACATTTAATAAAGATTTAACACCAGTTCTGAAACTCTTCCAAAACATAAACGGAGAGGAAATATTCCATAAGTCATTGTATGAAGCCATAGTTATCCTGACAACAAAGCCAAAGGTGTGGAAAAAATCTATAGACTAAATATCCATTATGAATATTAGTGTAAAAACATAAACGGAGAGGAAATATTCCATAAGTCATTGTATGAAGCAATAGTTATCCTGACAGCAAAGCCAGATAAAGGAATGGAAAAAAATCTATAGACCAAATATCCATTATGAACACTAGTGTAAAAGTTCTTAGTAAAGTCTTAGCAAACTGAATCCAACAGCATATACACAAGGATTATATGCTATGATCAAATGAGACTCATATGAGGAATACAAATGTGATTCAACATTAGAAAAATCATTTATTTAATGCATTACAATAGCCAAACAAAACAATAAACACTCATCATTATCTCAGTTGCTGCAAGAAAGATATTTGACAATACTAAATACCTTTTCATGATGCATGGCAATAATGATACCAAACTGCATTTCAGTTGACTCTATTATTTTTTCAGATTCTCTACAGACGGTGCAGCCTAATATCTCCCAGACTAGCACTTCCCATGGCCCTGCACTTGGGGCCTCACTGCCTGGTAGAAATGAAGGTCAGTGTTCGAAAGTATTTAAAGAATCCTGCCAATCCCTATTTTATCTATGAATGTCACCTGTCATAAAGAAACTTTTAGCAGAAACATTTTTCACAGCTTCTGAGAGGTCTTGTGGGGGCCTTTGCCATAAAGTGCTCCTGTTGAGCTCACGATATCTGTAAGCTGATGCCCTGGGTTTGTCCCAAATGATGCCTCCCACCCATTCATCAGCAGGACAGCCACATGCCTATGCCCCATCTCCACATACAAAAACCAAGACTACAAGGGAACTTCCTCAACATGAATAGGGGCACTTATTCAATCCAAGCTAACTTCATATTCATTGTTGTAAGACTGAAAGTATTACCTGTAAGATTATAAATGTCCACTTTCACCACTGTTATTCAATATTGTACTAGAAGATATACTCAAAGCAATTAGAAAAGTAAAAAGTAATAAAAGGCATCTAAATTAGAAATGAAGACTTAAAACTATCTGTCTTTGCAAAGTACACAATAAAAAATCTACAATAAATCAAATAGGCCTAACTAACAAATTCAACAAAGTTTGTCACCCTCCATGGGATGTGTATTAAAAACAATTTTGTCTGTAATAAATTTAGAAATATAATATGGTGTGTAAAAGCAGACAGGAGTTGTACATGATCAGCTAGATGGACAGATTTATATATGGGAATGGGGCCAATAAAACAAAATATTTAACGTTATACACTAGAATAGATTCATGTGAGTCATTGTCCAAAGAAAAATCATGACTTTACAAAATGCAGCAACTTGGTGGTTGAGGAATACCATTGATTGCTCTTTTTATTTCCCTGCTGCTAATATGAAACCTACAGCTTGAAACAGAGGTCTTTGAGCCAACTTCTTCCAAACCTTATAATCGTATTCCACTGTTTTTAAGTAATTCTTTGATCACTAGTTAATTTGTTTACTTGATAACTGAGATGCATCCTTACATCTTTATGACTATAATTGTCACTGTTGAGCACATATTATGTATCAGCCATTGAGAGAAAATGGGGATAAAATGGTTACTCATAGACTGCCTTCATGAACATAATTTCTAGTGGAAGAGGCAGAGTGAAAACAAACAAAAAAGATAAAATAATGCAGGTTATAAATTATATTATATGCATGTATATAAACATATAGATATAAATATAATATTGAATATATTAATAAAAAACATATAAGATATATAAATAAATATATCTTAAAATATATTATATAATATTAAATATATAATAATAAATATTATATATTTATATCCTACTATGTATAATGTGTCCCAGTACAAAGTAAAAACTGTGATGGGTGGAGATCTGTAAACTACAGAAGAGAGGAGAGGAAGGTGGAAACGTTTAATGTTTTGACCTTTAAATTTGTTGTCTTTTAGATGAAGTTGGTGAGGAATGGTCTGAAAGTGAGTAGGAAGGTTAACACCTATTCCATCTTCAGGCTTTTCAAGGGGTGCGTCAAACACTCACCATAAGGGCATTTGTATGGCCTATACAGAAAGAGGTTTTCAAGGCCTCTGGATCATATGAGTGAGGATGCAAGACAGTAAAGGAAAGAGAATCCAAACAGTGATGGATTACGTGGGGGACTCGGACTTTTGGCAGTAACTATAGTAAATCAAGATTTAAAGCAAAACAGTATCGGCCCTAGATTCTCTTTGAGGAAGGCAATCATTCTTTACATGCTGTCTAACCAGCTCATTTGAAGGTAACAAATCGCTGGATGCAGTGTGTCACACACACACACACACAAACACAATGGCCTGTGCCAAAATATTCAGTCTTAAAATAATTAACAACTTTTATTTACAAATTATTTGATTATCAGGTGAGAGTTTTTTTATCTGTAGGCTAGCTAGCTCACCAATTAGAGAAATTTACCACAGTTCCCCCTTAGTTGTATTTTAAGCAAAAATACTATCTAGGTTTAGCTCAAGGAATACATAAAATATTGTAGATAAAGGTATATACTTTTTAAAATATATTGGTGCCAGTAAGTATTGGGATAGTATCACAAGGGTCAATTATCTTTTTAACCAAAAAAGGCTTAATAAATATAAACAAACTAATGTATCATTAAATTATTTTACTTTTCAACCATTTATTGATGCTTTAAAATGGTTCATACATTTCATTAAATGTTAGGAATTAAAGTAATTGATTAGATTTTCATGGTCTTTATTTTTTATTACAATCAACTAGGGGAGTTATGAAGAAAGATAAACCAAATAATACTAACACAAATGTATAGAAACATCTGTGGGGGAGACACTTAACTGAACCACAGAAAATTAGGTATCAAGGAATTTTTTTAAATGATAGGAGATAATGTCTGATATGAATATTGAACAATGAGGAGGATTTAATTACAAGAATATAAGTAGATTATACCAGGCTGAGTGGTCACCATGGACAATGATCTGAAGATGCAAAAGTATAATTCATTTGGAGAAATTAAATTAGGTAAATTAAGAGGTTAATGATGTTTAATGAAGAGAGGTGAGATATAGCTTTGGAGGTAGATTGAGTACACAGATGGGAAGACATGGATTTAATTTCCAAGAAGATGGACTTCATTATTAAGAAAAAAGGGACACACTAGAAAACTAGTATAATATGAATTTAACTTATGTTTTATTTTAAGATATTTAATTGACAAATAGATATACATATTCCAGGTTAATTTAAACAACAAAATAAAATAACTTGTTGATAGCGGTTTCATGACGTACAAAACCCATATGACCATTTAAATTAATGCTGAAAAGTCATTTGATAAAATTCAACATCCCTTCATGACAAAAACCTTCAAAAATCTGGGCAAAAAAGGAACATACCTCAACACAATAAAAGCCATGTATGATAGACCAACAGCTAGTATTGTACTGAACAGGGAAAAACTAAAAGCCTTTCTTCTAAGATCTGGAACTAGACAAGGATGTCCACTTTCACAACTGTTATTCAACACAGTACTAGAAGTACCAGCTAGAGCAATCAGACAAGAGAAAGAAATAAAGGACATCCAAATTTGAAAGGAAGAAGTCAAAGTATCCTTGTTTGCAGATAATATAATCTTAGGTTTTGAAAAACCTAAAGACTCCATCAAAAAAACTATTAGAACTGATAAACAAATACAGTGAAGTTTCAGGATATGAAATTAACATACGAAAGTCAGTAGTATTTCTATATGCCAACAGGGAACAATTTGAAAAAGGAATCAAGAAAGCAATCCTATTTACAATAGCTACAAATAAAATAAAGTACTTAGAAGTAAACTTAACAAAAAACGTGAAAGATCTCTAATTAAAACTATAAAACATTGATGCAAGAAATTAAAGATGATGCACAAAAAATGGCAAGATATTCTATGCTCATAGTTTGGAAGAATCAATATTGTTAAAATGATCATACTACCTAAAGCAACCTACGTATTCAAGGAAATACCAAACAAATAAAATATCAGTGGCATCATTCAAAGAAACAGAAAAAATAACCTTAAAATTTTTATGGAACCAGAAAAGACCCAGAATAGCTAAAGCTATCCTGAGCAATAAGAACACAACTGGAGGAATCATATTACCTGACTTCAAATTATACTACTGGGGTATAGTAACCAAAAGAGCAGGGTATTAGCATAAAAACAGACACAGAGATCAACAGAACAGAATAGAGAATGCAGAAACAAATCCACACACCTACAGTGGACTCATTTTGACAAAGATGCTAAGAACATGCATTTGGAAAAGGACAGTCACTTCACTAAATGGTGCTGGGAAAACTGGATACCTTTACACAGAAAAATAAAACTAGATTCCTATCTTTCACCATATACAAAAATTAAATGAAAAAGGATTAGAAACTTAAATTTGAGTTCTGAAACAATGAAACTACTACAAGAAAACTTTGGGGAAACTCTCCGGGACATTGTTCTGGGCAAAGATTTCTTGAATAATCTCCCTCAAGTACAGGCAACCAAAGCAAAAAGGGATGAACAGAATCACATCAACTTAAAAATCCTGTGCACAGTAAATGAAACAATCCACACACTAAAGAGACATCCCACAGAATGGGAGAAAATATCTACAAACTCTCCATCAGGAGAGGGAATAATAATCAAATATATAGAGCTTAAACAATTCAACAGAAAAAAAATAATAATTCTATTAAAATATTGACGTAAGATCTGAATAGTCATTTCTCAAAAGAAGATATGTAAGTGGCAAAGAAGCATATGAAAAAGTGCTCAATATCATTGATCATGAGAGAAATGCAAATCAAAACTACAAAGAGATATCCCCTCACCCCAGTTAAAATGGCTTTTATCCAAAAGACAGGTGATAACAAATGTTGGCAAGAATGTGGAGAAAAGTGGACCCTCATACACTGTTGGTGGGAACGTACATTAGTATAACTACTACAGAGAACAGTATGGAGGTTCCTCAAAAAACTAAAAATAGAAATATCATATGAGCCAGCAATCCCACTGCTAGATATATACCCCAAAAAAAGGAAATCAGTATATTAAAGAGCTCTGTACTCCCATGTTATTGCAGAACTGTTCACAATAGCCAAGATTTGGAAGCAACCTAAGTGTCAATAGGAAGGTGAATGCATAAAGAACATGTAGCACATACACACAATGGAGTATAGAATAGTAATTTAGACATAAAAAACAATGAGATCCTGTCATTTACAACAACGTGGATGGAACTGGAGAACATTATGTTAAATGAAATAAGCCAGACATAGAAAGACAAACTTTCCGTGTTCTTATTCATCTGTGGGGACTGAAAATTAAAACAATTGAATTGTGTATATGAATGAGAAGGTTGTATATACGTTGTAATAATGTGTGGGTGTGGGGTGTGTGTGTATCCTTCTCATATATATATATAAAATCTTCCTTATAGAGTTGTTGAGAATTTTGGAACTATGTCTTATGTATTTTATGCAATTAATGGCAACAATAATGATAATAAAGTACTAAACTTTAAACATTTTCTCAAGGCATCTTAACAAATAATATATTTCAGTGTGGTTTAACAGCTGTATTGTAGTGCATTATGTGAGTGTATAAAATATTTAACAATCTCTAACTGATGGACACCTTGGTTATGTCCCAATTTTTATTATTATATGCAAAGCTGTCTTAAATATTACACTACATAAGTCTGAATAATTTTGTCTGCATTTTAGTTACTTTTTTTAAGTTGAAGTTTCTGCATCAATAAAATAAAATTTGAAAATTTGAAAAATATTGCCATATTTTCTTTGGAACATTTGGTCCAAAGAATCCAATCCATATTTGTATATGCTGTGTTTTATTTTATTTTTTTTATTATTTTATTTTTTTAGAGATGGAGTCTCACTCTGTCCCCCAGGCTGAAGCTATATTTCAATAAAGCTGCCAAATAATGTCAATGAGTTCTCTCACGCTTGTGCCACAGAGTAAGAGTACATACACTTAGTATTGATGGTATTATTTTGTGATTGTTTGGTGAAGTGCTTTTCAATTTATTTTTATTTATTTTATTTTATTTTCGAGACTGAGTCTCGCTCTGCCACCCAGACTGGAGTGCAGTGGCATGATCTCGGATCACTGGAACCTCTGCCTCCCAGGTTCAAGCGATTCTCGTGCCTCAGCCTCCCGAGTATCTGGGATTACAGACATGGGCCACCACGCCTGGTTAATTTTTTTGTGTGTATTTTTTGTGGAGACAGGGTTTCTCCATATTGGCCAGGCTGGTCTTGAACTCCTGACAAGTGATCCACCCACCTTGGCATCCCAAAGTGCTGGGATTACAGGCGTGAGCCACCGCACCTGCCCTCAATGTATTTTTGTTATTTATCTATGTACATTTTTTGCTTCCTTTTGTTCCACATTTCTATATGTAAAAATGGAGCTTTAAATTCATTTACATTTTTGACATAAATTTTATGAAGTTTTAATGTGTGAAAGGAAATTAAATCTTGGGGCCCCACACTTATTTAGCCAAAAGGAAAAGTCAAGCTGGGAAGTGTGTCATGCAAACCTACCTCCCCCTTTTTGGTTCGTAAATAAGGTGGCTACAAATGAAAAGCAACACGCCTCCCTCACATTTTGCTCCCAAGGAAATTCCCAGTGAGCTGTTGCAATTTCACTATGGCAATGCAGATTGATAACTTATATTTACAAGTCCAGGCCCTCCCTCCCCGCAACACCAGACAAAAATGCATATCTGATTGTTCTCCTGTCCCGTTCTGTCTGTGTTATCTTATGTAAAATGTAGATTCCTCTCATTTTTTTTCTGCCACTTTTCTTTATGTCATCTTATGTAAAAAATGCAGATTCACTGAGCCAGACAAAAGCATGAGTGACTATTTTTCTCTACCTCCTTCTTACATGAAAATTGTGTACTTCTCAATATTGCACCCTTTCCCCTTTAAATTTGGAGCCCTCAAAATCATCTTGGGAGAAAGGCATAGATCTGTCTCCCAGCCGTGTCCTCAACTTTGGCAAATAAATCTTCTAAAAGGATTGAGACTTGTCATTTTTCTCAACTGACAAATGTAAAGATTATTAAAGTGTTAATATCAATTATTCAAGAGGGATTATTTATATCCATAGGCACACTTTAAAGAGTAATTAATAAAGTGAATGTTCATAAACACTATTTACCAATTCGCAAGTATAACATTACTATTATCTTTAAGTACCTATATATATGTCCCTCTCAGTTGTATCAAAATCACTCATTTCATCCCTAGAGGTAACCTATATGGTATTTTTGTATATTTATTTCTGCACTATGCTTTATCAATTTACCATATATATAAGCTCTTGTGCATTAACTAGTTTAATAATTTGCTTGATTTTGAAATTTATATAAATGTAAACATCTTATTTACATTAGTTCATGACTTGCTTATTTTTGTCAACATTATGTTTTATAGATTTATTCAACTTGGGTTGTAAAAGTGTTACTTATTAATTTCATTGTAATATTGTATATCACCACTTGATTATAACACATATTATGAATCCAAATAATATTTCATCAACAATTTTTTGCTTTTTTTCTGTTATTATGAGATATGAGATATGAATATTCATATACACATTTCATATGGCACATACCTCAGAGATCATTTAGGATATGTACCAATCGGTAGAATTTTATTATCATATGCATGTGTATTTTTGACCTTATTGAATAATGCGGACTTTTAACAAAATAGTACGTTAACTACATTATCTCCTACTTCTTGCTATATCACAGTTTTAACTTTTTCCCAAACTATGGGTATAAAAATGGTAATTTATTGTGGGAATGTGTAATTAACATTTTTTGAGACGCATTGTATAGTTATCAAAAAGTACAAAGTGAAAAGCATACAGCTAAATTAATTCTAACAAATGAAACACATCTGGGAAACCGACAACAATATTAATAACATGATAACAAACTTAAAAAGTTTCCTCCTATCTGCCTTTGCTTAGCATATGTTGGCTTGGAATCTCGACTAACATAGTTTCTGACACAGTATATTAATATTGCTTATATATTTTAACTTTATATCAATGAAGTACTACATATTTATACTCTTTTATATCTACCTTATTTCATTCAATGTTTTGCTTGTGATAGAGCTACATAATTTAACAACTCTGCTTTTTTTTTTCTCCTTCTGTTTTTTCCTCTCCTTTATTTTTCTCTTTCTGTTCAGAAGTTCTGTGTGGCCTTTGTGACATTTAAAAATTGTTTTTCCTCTATAAAATAGTGTATATCCCTAATAATGACTAGTCAGTAATTACCCCAGAAGGCACGTGTTTCTTTTTAACTTTTTGCTACCTTATTTGATAAGGTAGTAAAAAGTGACAACCCTTGGAAGACCTTCTCCAGAGTGAGCTTCTGGTCCACAGGGTCTGATTCTTCAGAAATGCACTCTGTAGTCTTCTCCAAAATGTGGACACCTCCACCAAGATCTTACAGAAACTCTGGATTCTAAATATCTTGGAGTTTTCCACACATCTCTGGGTTCCCCTCCTTATGTTTTCACAGTCAGCTACAGCTCTCTGGTATCTCATCGTTAAATCCTGGACTTCCTTCTCCAGTTTAACAGCTTTCACCCTTAAGGCCCATTCAGCAAGAGAGCACCCAAGCTCATCAGGGGGGTCCTCAGAACTGCAGTCCTCACCAGTAGTTCTCTGCATGGCAGTGCTGAATAGAAGTAGCCATCCCTTGCCCTCCCACTCAGCACTCGAGGCCAGTAGGGGCTGCATCTGCCACAGCAACTGCACGGCCAAGTTCAAAATTTTTACCACCTTATTTGATAGGTACATTCTCTTATGCAATAGATACATCCAAATGCTTAAGCTGGAAGTACCTGACCATCACAGAGAGCTTTCACCTGCCTCATTAATCCATTATTCTAAATGGTTTATTCTTGTGTCTTTTCACAGATTTTCAACTGCTGTGCCATCTCTTCTAAATCTGGAGTGGATTTTTTGTTGTTTGTTTTTATGTTTTTGTTCAATTGGCTATTTCTGAGATGAATGACAAATTTCCTTGATTCCATTGTATATCAATTTATACTATAATATCTATAATAAAATGTTGACAATGATAAATTAAAGAGTCTTGCAGCACTGGGTAGGTATCTTAACCTTTAGTTGCAGAAGCTGCTGACTGATTTAATGGCCTTTTAAATTATAATTGTACACTGTCCTTGAAATGAGTGCCAACCTATTTCTCATATAGTGCTTCACTCCTATTGCTCCTCTTAGAATTCTACTCTGGAAGAGATGCTTTGTGATCACATTTGCTCATTGGTCCCTTTAATCTTTATGTAGCATCTGATTGAGATAATTCAGTGCTTGCCCCATGGTAAGTCTTAAGTCTTCTATACGCTCATTACAATCTCACATAAATACTCCAATAATTCTACAATGCCTACAATGATAAATGTCCATGGTAGTCCAGAAATTATGAAGTAGATGGATCTAAGGGTCCAATGTTAACAAAAACTCCCAGGACGAAAATCTATTAAGTTCAAAATTGCAGTGCACACTAGGAAACAACATAGGAGAATGCTAGACACACCCTAGGGCATGCGATGCACTTACTCTTATTTAGTAAAGAAAGATGTGGATTCTTTAAATTCCTGGTCCCAGTTCCTCTCCTTTCGCCATGAACTTTACCATGTGACTTTGCAAGCTGTCTCACTAAGGAGAGGCAGCGTTTGTTTTTCCACTGCTTAAATATGAAGAATTTGAATTCAGGCATTGGGCTTGTTTTCGCAATGTTATAAAAGCCAATTTCATATAAGTAGGGGATTTTGCTTCGACTTTTGAAGCTATGTTACTGCCAGATAACATGCCTGTACCCACATCTCAAGAGTGAGAAACACAAGTGAGAGTGAGAAACACAATAATCATCCTGTCACACAATCTGACAGAAAACTGGCTGCTGGACAGATGTGAGAGTGAGCCAAGCTTAGAAGAACTGCACACCCACACAGACAGGAACAATGTCTGACCTGCACCCTCTAGGGGGTAATAAACGTTACTGTTTTAAACCATTGAGGTTTGAGATTGTTATACAGCATCATTCCAACAATGTCAATCTGATACAGGAATCAGTAGTTTAAAATGGAGTTCTATCATAATAAAAATCCCATAAAATATATTGTGTGGGTTAACAGAGGCCTGCAAAATGATCGTATTACCACTATGGATCCTGAAAAATTGATGATCTGTACTATGTAGCAATG